>NC_000010.11:47870368-48021883 GCF_000001405.40 Homo sapiens | reverse complement strand
ACTTTCTTCACTTTATGTTTTAGGTGGCTTTGTTGAAAATCAGTTGGCTATAGGTATTTGAGTTTATTTCTGGGTTCTCTATTCTGTTCCATTGGTGTATGTGCCTATTTTTATATCAGTACCGTGCTATTTTGGCGACTATGGCCTTATAGTATAGTTTGAAATCAGGTAATGTCATGCCTCCAGATTTGTTGTTTTTGCTTAGTTTTGTTTTGGCTGTGCCGGTTCTTGTTTGGTCCATATAAATTTCAGGATTGTTTTTTCTAGTTCTGTGAAGAAGGATGGTGGTATTTTGATGGGAGTTGCATTGAATTTGTAGATTGCTTTTGGCAGTATGGTCATTTTCACAATATTCATTCTACCCATTCATGAGCATGGGGTGTCTTTCCATTTGTCTGTGTCCATGACTTCATTCAGCAATGTTTTGTAGTTCCCAACGGCATATCAAAAAGATAATCGGGCCAGGCACGGTGGCTCACACCTGTAATCCCAGCACTTTGGGAGGCTGAGGCGGACGGATCATGAGGTCAGGAGTTCGAGACCAGCCTGGCCAACATGGTGAAACCCCATCTCTACTAAAAATACAAAAGTTAGCCGGGCGTGGTGGCGCTCACCTGTTATCCCATCTACTCGAGTGGCTGAGGCAGGAGAATCGCTTGAACCTCGGAGGCAGAGGTTGCAGTGAGCCAAGATCACCGCATTGCATACTCCAGCCTGGGCAACAGAGCGAGACTCCATCTCAAAAAATAAAAAAAAGATAATCCACCATGATCAAATGGGTTTCATACCAGGGATGCGGGGATGGATTAACATACACAAGTCAATAAATGTGATACACCACATAAACAGAATTAAAAACAAAAAATCACATGATCATCTTAACAGATGCAGAAAAAGCATTTGACAAAATGCAGCATCCTTTTATGATTAAAACCCTCAGCAAAATCAGCATACAAGGGTCATAGCTCAATGTAATAAAAGCCATCTATGACAAACCCACAACCAACATAATACTGAAAGGGGGAAAAGTTGAAAGCATTCCCCCCGAGAACTGGAACAAGACAAGGATGCCCACTCTCACCACTTGTATTCAACATACTACTGGAAGGCCTAGCCAGAGCAATCACACAAGAGAAAACAATAAAAGGCATGCAGATCAGTAAAGAGGAAGTCAAACTGTTGCTGTTTGATGATGATATGATCATATACCTAGGAAACCCTAAAGACTCCTCCAAAAAGCTCCTAGAACCGATAAATGAATTCAGCAAAGTTTCAGGAGACAAAATTAATGTACACAAATCAGTAGCTCTGTTATACCCCAGAAGCGACCAAGCTTAGAATCAAACCAAGAACTCAACCCCTTTTCTGATAGCTGCAAAAATAAACTAAAATAAAATAAAATACTTCGGAATAGACCTAACCAAGGAGGTGAAAGATGTCTACAAGGAAAACAACTTTAGTATTTTTAATGGGTTAAAATGAGAGGCAGCAGGTACAGCAGAAGTCAGTGCGTGGGCATCCGCATCCAATGGGTACTGCACCTTTGATGGTAAGGCTTTGGTTTTGACTTACTAAATTACTAGGTACGATTATTTTCTAGTTTTTGTCATTAAACCTTAAAACTACTAAGTAACCCCTTCCATTTCTTGTTAAATATTGTAAAATTTCATACTCTCATTTATGCTGACTGACGTTAGATTATTTGTTTCTATTTTGTGACTACCTTAAATAATACCTATAAAGAGTAAACTGTTAGTAGTGTTTTTGCTGTAATTAAATGTAGTAAGACTTACCTTCCAAATGATGACTGAATTGTCAAACACTTGTCGAAGTTTTGGATTTACTCAAAATTCTATGCTCAGCAGCTGGAGGTAGGAAGAGTAAGGGCCCTCCCTTACTCTTATGGAGAGGCATACTTTCTCATGAGGGGAATACTCTGCAGCAATTAGCATCTTGTAAGCAGTGGTGAATTCAACTAATTAGTGTATAAAAATACATTTTTTGGTGTGGCTGCCGACAAAGAGATCCAAGAGGGTAGATGGAGTCGAGCTTGCTGAAGCAAGGAAAGAGAAAAGCAGTATTCTAGGCAGAGAGCAGGGGTAGAGCAGGAAAATGGCTAGGTGCAGGTCAGATGATTTATAGAATGCAATTGATCAAGTTTTGAAGTGAATGCAAAGTATTCTCCAAGAGTCTCATTTGAGTCATGTCTTGGCAGTCTTATTTAAACATGAAGTGAAAGTTAGATTTTTTAAGTTGTCATTTGTTTTTAGGGTGTGAGAGAATATTTAAGTGATACTCTTTTTATCCTCCACATAAGAAAATAGGACTAGAGAAACCTATGGCTTCCTCACTTGTTGGTGGCCTAGCAGCCCTGGCACACAGAGCCCCTGAATCTGAAACACTTCTTTTGTAACAATATCACCTGAAATAATACATTTAGGATTAGTAATTTAGTAAATGCATTAATCTTGTATTCACTGCAATAAAATGCTCTTGTAGCAGGATTATTTAATACACTACATTTTATCGTAGTAAATAAATAATAGAAGGGCTGGGCGCCGTGGCTCACGCCTGTAATCCCAGTACTTTGGGAGGCTGAGGCAGGCAGATCGCGAGGTGAGGAGATCGAGACCATCCTGGCTAACACGGTGAAACCCCGTCTCTACTAAAAATACAAAAAGTTAGCCGGGCATGGTGGCGGGCACCTGTAGTCCCAGCTACTCAGGAGGCTGAGTCAGGAGAATGGCGTGAACCCGGGAGGCGGAGCTTGCAGTGAGCCGAGATCGCACCACTGCACTCCAGCCTGGGCTACAGAGCGAGACTCCGTCTCAAAAATAAATAAATAAATAAATAAATTAATTAATTAATTAATAGAAATTCTTGGCTGCTTTTTATTGCTGTAGAAAAAAATATGAAATCTCATTTTAAACTTTTCTTTCTTTTTTTTTTTTTTTTTTGAGACGGAGTCTCACTTTGTCTCCCGGCCTGGAGTGCAGTGGCGCGAACTCGGCTCACTGCAAGCTCTGCCTCCTGGGTTCACCCCATTCTCCTGTTTCAGCCTCTCGAGTAGCTGGGACTACAGGGGCCTGCTACCACGCCCGGCTAATTTTTTGTATTTTTAGTAGAGACGGGGTTTCACCATGTTAGCCAGGATGGTCTCGATCTCTTGACCTCGTGATCTGCCCGCCTCCACCTCCCAAAGTGCTAGGATTACAGGTGTGAGCCACCGCGCCCGGCGAAGCCGACTTTTCCCATTATTTTTAACGGTAATTCATAAAATCCTTGTTAGGTTTGATGACAGGTACCATATTAAGGGCAGCATTTTATAACCCATATCTTAAACATCATCTCTGGAAGTTGAGAGCCTCCAATGTGTTTTCTATAGAGTGCACATGATACCACACTCAGGCAGTTCATGGAGTGTAAGACATATCTTAGTGCTTTGTCATTTGACATTTTAACTGAGAAAAAAATACACTTTGATAAGTTTGACTTACACTTCCCTTCCCCTTCAGGTATCTACTGAGCGTTTCAGTCAACAATACAGCTCGTGTTCGACAATATTCCTTGATGACAGCACAGCCATCCAGCATTATCTTACAATGACAATAATATCGTGAGTACAACTATGCTGCCGAGGGACAGATTCCTTTATTCGGAAATTATTTCAGCCATTTGGTTGTCCTCTTCAGCAATCAGCTTAAGAAATTGGAGTCAACCATATATTGATATCCAGATTCTCAATATTAAGTATCAGTTTCTCTTTTAATCTTAGACGTCGTGGTGGAAGGAAAAATCAGTTAGCAAAGAAGCAAACCCAGAAACAGTGTGTCTTTTTGATGCCTTTATGCCTTTAGACAATGTTGAACACAGTGAGAAGGATAGGTTCCCTTTATTGAATGTTTTTTGTGGAAACTTAGTTTTTCAATGCATCATAGGCCCAAATCAGTGTGCACTACTTTGGACATTATCCTTGGAAGAAGGAACAGCTTTTCTTCTTCTGGCACCACAGTGTATCTGCATTTGAATTTCTCCCATTGTGCATGAGCACCTCGTGGACCACGATGCGCTTTGAGAGCACCCTGAGATGAAGTTTATTTTAAAAGGAACAACAACCAACACCACCACCAGCTCCACAGGGGCCGTCCAGTGTACATTATTCTCATCTCCTTGGGTTATTAGTCTTGATTTTTAGAACACAGTTTGGAAAGTGCTAATTTAGAATATTAATGTCTTTATCTTTAATTTAACTTTTCATTCTGTAAACATAACTAGCTTATAAACAATTTTGTTTCAAATGCACTAGCCTTTTTAGCTAATTCAATTGTCAATAACTTTTACTTCAATTAAAAGTGGCAAGTTTACACTCATAATAATGTCACTTTCCTCCCTCCCTTTTAACAATAGTTGAGAGGAAATTGTGTTTCAAACAAAAACTGAACTCAAACTCTGTCTCAAGTCCTGAGCTTTGGGACCTATTGAGTAATCACTAAATGTCTGTAGTCAGCCAAGTCTCTTAAATCTTTGAGCACACATACACAAAAATTACTTTGACTAGAGTCCCTGGCTTCTTCTGAGTTCCAAAGATTTTGATAAGTTAGCATATAATTCAAAAGCAGCTTTGAAGATTAATTTTGCTGAAACAAATTTCGTGCTTTTTTCCTCATTATTCTACTTTTTAGAAGTCTACTTTTGAGAGTATAGTAAGTTTTAATTTGCCACCAGCAAGTTTGAGAAATGATCATTTGGTGTATTCACTATTGGTGAAATAAAGTTATTGAACAAATTAATAGGGCAAATTGGCTTCAAGAAGATATTTTGAAAAATGTTTTATCATGAATCAGTAGTGCACTGTTGTCAGTGGGATAGGTGGAACTCGCTGAGATCACTTATGCAAGGTTTTTTTCAAAATGCAAGTCTGCAAATACATGTATCTTCCCATCTCCACTTTCCCTCTATCTCTAGGCACTGAGAAGCCTTTTAGGAAAATCGGGATGGATGTGAGGCATCTTTCTGTGAAGAAAAGCATCCCAGAAGATTCTGATTTTCACCCCAGCTCAATCATTCCAAACTTTGCTGCTGATTGAAATCACCTGGGAAACGTTTACCAAGAACCTTGATGCCCAAAGCCATACCCAATACTAATTAAATTAAAATGTCTCATGTGGAAGATGAGGCAGATATTAAAGCTTCTCAGGTGATTTTAATGTGCAGCAAAGTTTGAGAGCCACTGCTTAATTTGAGTTTAGGACGAGAAACTGCTCCTATTTGGTGGGACCTTGGGCAAGTCAGTTTTAAGGTTTGTTTCCCTGATCTGTAAAACAAGTGTTGAATTAAATGTCACATAAGGTCATTGGTCCTTTCCAGCATGTAACTTTAAATTCTGTGATTTTAAAATTATTTCAGAGATGAAAACTACTTGAAGCACTATAGACATATCCATCTCACATGCTAATGTTACAGGCTTTTTAAAAAGTGCTAATATTGTGTAGACCTATTAGTAGAATTGAGATTTACCTTCCCTCAGTTGTTTTGAGCCTCACTCTACAAAATTAGCTGGGTGTGGTGGTACATGCCTGTAATCCCAGCCACTTGGGAGGCTGAGGCAGGAGAATCTCTTGAACCCGGGAGGCAGAGGTTGTGGTGAGCCGAGATCACACCATTGCACTCCAGCCTGGGCAACAAGAGCGAAACTCCACCCACCACCCCCCCAAAAAAAAAAATTATCTGGGCATAGTGGCGCAAACTTGTAGTCCCAGCTTCTTGGGAGGCTGAGGCGTGAGAATCGCTTGAACCTGGGTGGTGGAGGTTGTGAGGAGTCAAGATGGCACCACTGCAGTCCAGTCTGAGCAAGAGAGACAGACTCTGGGTCAAAAAATAAATAAATACATAAAATAAATCGCATGGGACGAAAGGTTTCATCGGTAGAAAAGCATATAAAAGGGAAATCTGTTATTATTTATATATTGTAATCACCAACAGAAACGCGTCTTCTAACGGCATATTTCCTTGCATTTTGGTTCTCATATTTTTGTAAAAAACAAAGAAATGAAAACAAAGTGCCCTTATGGTACTGTTCTGAACTAGAAGATTTGAATTTCAGGGCCGCTAGGAGAGTTTCCTCTGCCCCCCTTTTAAAAAATGTCTTCAGGCCTAACAAATGATAACATCTATTGTTATGAATTTTTTTTCCTTCCACAGTGTGACCTTGGAGATACCTCATCATATCACACAAAGGTGAGCTTTTTAGAAACCTGTCTTGTTATTCTAGCTAATTACTTTGCAAGATATCAAGCTCAGTGTTAGGTCACAGCTCTAGACATCATAAGCTGTATTGTGCCTACTAAAATATCGAAGCAAATTATTTGTATTTTCTTTGTTCCTTAAGACTCTCATAATTCTTAAATGATTGAGAATCTCAAAGAGTATATGTTTATATTGATTATATTGATATTTAGTGTGGTAGAATTATACAATTGAAATTTTTTCAAAATCTATTTTTAGTTTAGATTTCACAGCCTTACCACTGTTGATATTATGGGCTAGATAATGCTTTGTTGTGAGGACTGTCTTGTGCATTGCAGAGAGTTTAGCAGTATTCATGGCCTCTACCAACTAGATGTCAGTAGTAACCCATGACCCAGGTTATAAAAACAGAAAATATTCCTTGAGAACAGTATTGTTAACAGAAGTTTTTCATTGAAAAAAAACTTTTCTACAACAAAAAGTTGAGTAAAAAGTGTGTCATTTGTTTATATTATTTAAAGTCTCTCATGTTGAGCTTAATAGGAGACAAATGGATTCTCTAGAGCTTTCTTTGCAATTTGCTTCAAAGAAGCAATATGAGGCTGGGCACAGTGGCTCACGCCTGTAATCCCAGCACTTTGGGAGGCTGAGGCGGGCGGATCACAAGGTCAGGAGATCGAGACCATCCTGGCTAACACGGCGAAACCCCGTCTCTACTAAAAATACAAAAACTTAGCTGGGCATGGTGGCACGCACCTGTAGTCCCACGTATTCTGGAGGCTGAGGCAGGAGAACTGCTTGAACTTGGGAGGCGGAGGTTGCAGAGAGCTGAGATGGTGCCATTGCACTGCAGCCTGGGTGACAGAGCAAGACTCTGTCTAAACAAACAAACAAAAAAAGCAAGCTGGTGGGGCGCAGTGGTTCACACCTGTAATCCCAGCATTTTGGGAGGCCGAGGTGGGTGGATCACTTGAGGTCAGGAGTTTGAGACCAGCCCGACCAACATGGTAAAACCCGCCTCTACTGAAAGTACAAAAAATGGCTGGGCGTGGTGGTGCATGCCTGTAGTCCCAGTTACTTGGGAGGCTGAGGCAGGAGAATCGCTTGAGCCTGGGAGGTGGAGGTTGCAGTGAGCCGAGATCTCGCCATTGCACCCCAGCCTGGGTGACAGAGAGAGACTCTGTCTCAAAAAAAGAGAAAAAGAAGCAATAAGATGACCTAACCTCATGCAAATATGTAGTTGGTAGAAGGTGTATTTTTAAAGTTTTCAGACAGTTGTGGGTATTTGTTAAAACACTAAATCAAAACTTCACAAGTGGTGGTTTCTTAAATTAGTTACGGTGGCATTTTACATATTAATAAATTTATTCCATCAGTACTCATTGATCTTTCTTGCACAGTAAATGGATCTTTTGCTCCATACTTGCATTTATAATATCATGCATTAGTTACTTGGAATATATTGGTTTATGTTTTATTGTGTCAAAAATCACTTTTAGTTTAACCACCAATCTTACTTTAACACGCCTTTAAGTATTGAAAAGCTGCCAAGCCTACAGTAGAAGGAACAAGTTTTTCAAAGTCCACAGGAAAGCTTAAATTTTATCATTGGGAACAAATATGTATTTCCCTTGAAGTGACAACCTCTCACTTCATTTATTTTTGAGAATGATAGTTGAACTGGTTTTTTAGACCGAGTTTCACTCTGTCACTTGGCTGGAGTGCATTGGCATGATCTCAGCTCAAGCAATCCTCTCACCTCAGGCTCCTGTGTAGCTGGGACCACAGATGTGTGGCACCACGCCAGGCTAATTTTCTTATATGTTTGATAGAGACACGGTTTCGTTATGTTGCCTAGGCTGGTCCCGAACTCCTGAAGGAGCTCAGGCCATCTGCCTGCTTTGGCCTCTCAAAGTGCTGGGATTTTACAGGCGTGAGCCACTGCGCTGGCCCAGTTGTACTTTTAAATAAAAATGATGTTCTGTGAAAAAAGTGATTTTTCAGTTCACAGTTAAATCACGGATTCTTTAAAAACAAAAAAAAAAAGCACTTCTCATTAACTTTCCACTTATTCAGAATATTAGAGACATGTCAAGATTTAACAACATTAATTTTTATTGCTTCATCAAAGACGTTCTTAAGAAATTCAGGCTATGTTTTTTACCTGTAGGGGACAGTGAAGAATAGAATGACTACTAATGTAATTGGTACCACTGCCTTGATTTATGCTGAGAAACCAGCCATTGTACCTACTTTTGCTTTTATACAATCATGGCAAGTGTCAACGAAAAAGCAGGCAATGACTTTGTATTACTTTCACAAATTTTTAAAATTTTTCATCAGCTTTCTCAGGTTTAATTAGTATGATTCAGAACAGTGTTGGCCAGGCACAGTGGCTCAGGCCTGTAATCCCAGCACTTTGGGAGGCCGAGGCAAGTGGATCGCCTGAGGTTAGGAGTTCAAGACCAGCCTGGCCAACATGGTGAAACCACATCTCTACTAAAAATACAAAACTTAGCCAGGAGTGGTGGCAGGTGCCTGTAATCCCTGCTACTTGGGAGGCTGGGGTAGGAGAATCACTTGAACCTGGGAGGCGAAGGTTGCCATGAGCAGAGATCGCACCATTGCACTCCAGCCTGGGCAACAAGAGTAAAACTTGGTCTCAAAAAAAAAAAAAAAAAAAAAAAAAAAAAAAAAAAAAAAAGAACAGTTATGAGCTCTTAGGCCTTCTGGAAGAGGTCTTCGGGATCCCGAGAGGTCCACAGAGCACATTTGGAGAACCACTGGTTTATACACAGGCACAATGCATTAGTTTTACAAAGTTTAAAGTTCCTCAAAGACTGGCCTCTTAAAAAGGTAGATGAGTTTGTCATTCAGACAACAGAAAATACATAAAAACATCATGAGAGTATACTACAGAGAACTAAAGAGAAAGGAAGCTAGGAAATCTGAATCACATTTACATTTATTAAAGTTTACTACTACTGCTTTGTAGAACATTCTTGTGTTTCAATGTGTGGTTAGAAGAGTGAAAATATGTTTGGTTTATTGCCATGGCCTGTTAGGGAGAGTCAATACTCATGGGCATTTCTGACTGGTTATCATATAAAAGGCTTCACGGTACAGACCATGATGTGCTGAGAAAGAAGAAGTCAGGAAACCCTCTGCAAGTCAGGATCCAGGAGAAGAATTCGTAAAAACTGCTTTGGTAAAGTAAACACCAAAGCACACAGGAGGAAGTATTTTACTCAACAAATATTATACTAAGATATTAACAGTTTTTGAAGTAATGCACTTTCTTATTTTATAGAGATGCAGATAGATCTTTGAGCATACCTGATGAACAGTTACACTCATTTGCGGTAAGTGGCACTTTTATTGAGGTTGTATTTTCATCGTACACTTGTATCTGTTTCATGCTGAAGTCAAAGCCATCTTTTTTTAAATCTTCCCCATTTCATGTTGCATTTAGTCATCTTAAGTGTTGTAAAAAGAATGTGCTGGAGTAAGAACTGATCTGCAGCTCTGTTTAGTTAGTGAGCTAGTATGAGTAAATATACTATCCAAACAACAGAAAATGTATCTTTTTTTTTTTTTTTTGATGGACTCTCTTTCTGTAGCCCAGGCTGGAGTGCAATCGCGCGATCTTGGCTCACTGCAGGCTCTGCCTCCCAGGTCCCTGTTCAAGCAATTCTCCTGCCTCAGCCTCCCGAGTAACTGGAATTACAGGCATGTGCCACCATGCCCAGCTAATTTTTTTTTCTTTTTTTTTTTTGTAAAGACAGGGTTTCACCATGTTGGCCAGGATGGTCTTGAACTCCTGACCTCGTGATCCACCCACCTTGGCCTCCCAAAGTGCTGTGATTACAGGTGTGAGCCACCATGCCTGGCCCAGAAAATGTATCTTTTTAAAAGGTAATTGTGAGCTGTCTATAGGATCCTGCAAGCCACTACCCAATTTTTGAAGCCATTCCTCCTCCTGTTCCACACAGGTTTCCACCGTGCACATTATGAAGAAAAGAAATGGAGGTGGGAGTTTAAATAACTATTCCTCCTCCATTCCACCGACTCCCAGCACCAGCCAGGAGGACCCTCAGTTCAGTGTTCCTCCCACTGCCAACACACCCACCCCCATTTGCAAGCGGTCCATGCGCTGGTCCAACCTGTTTACATCTGAGAAAGGGAGTGACCCAGACAAAGAGAGGAAAGCCCCGGAGAATCATGCTGACACCATCGGGAGCGGCAGAGCCATCCCCATTAAACAGGGCATGCTCTTAAAGCGAAGTGGGAAATGGCTGAAGACATGGAAAAAGAAATACGTCACCCTGTGTTCCAATGGCGTGCTCACCTATTATTCAAGCTTAGGTGATTATATGAAGAATATTCATAAAAAAGAGATTGACCTTCGGACATCTACCATCAAAGTCCCAGGAAAGTGGCCATCCCTAGCCACATCAGCCCGTGCACCCATCTCCAGCTCTAAAAGCAATGGCCTATCCAAGGACATGGACACCGGGCTGGGTGACTCCATATGCTTCAGCCCCAGTATCTCCAGCACCACCAGCCCCAAGCTCAACCCACCCCCCTCTCCTCATGCCAATAAAAAGAAACACCTAAAGAAGAAAAGCACCAACAACTTTATGATTGTGTCTGCCACTGGCCAAACGTGGCACTTTGAAGCCACGACGTATGAGGAGCGGGATGCCTGGGTCCAAGCCATCCAGAGCCAGATCCTGGCCAGCCTGCAGTCATGCGAGAGCAGTAAAAGCAAGTCCCAGCTGACCAGCCAGAGTGAGGCCATGGCCCTGCGGTCGATCCAAAACATGCGTGGGAACGCCCACTGTGTGGACTGTGAGACCCAGAATCCTAAGTGGGCCAGTTTGAACTTGGGAGTCCTCATGTGTATTGAATGCTCAGGTATCCACCGCAGTCTTGGCACCCGCCTTTCCCGTGTGCGATCTCTGGAGCTGGATGACTGGCCAGTTGAGCTCAGGAAGGTTATGTCGTCTATTGGCAATGAGCTAGCCAACAGCATCTGGGAAGGGAGCAGCCAGGGGCAGACAAAACCCTCAATAAAGTCCACGAGGGAAGAGAAGGAACGGTGGATCCGTTCCAAATATGAGGAGAAGCTCTTTCTGGCCCCACTACCCTGCACTGAGCTGTCTCTGGGCCAGCAGCTGCTGCGGGCCACCGCTGATGAGGACCTGCAGACAGCCATCCTGCTGCTGGCACATGGCTCCCGTGAGGAGGTGAACGAGACCTGTGGGGAGGGAGACGGCTGCACGGCACTCCATCTGGCCTGCCGCAAGGGGAATGTGGTCCTGGAGCAGCTCCTGATCTGGTACGGGGTGGACGTCATGGCCCGAGATGCCCACGGGAACACAGCGCTGACCTACGCCCGGCAGGCCTCCAGCCAGGAGTGCATCAACGTGCTTCTGCAGTACGGCTGCCCCGACGAGTGCGTGTAGTATCTGTTTTATTTGACTGCAGTCTCCTTGGTGCAAAAACAAAATGGGAAAAATAAGGATAACTCAGAATTTCAAAAGGAAATCACAAATTCAGCTAGTAATAGCATTTTCAGTACTTTTCGTAAACTAAGTAAATACACAAAATGTTGATTTTTCTGACTATAAGACATATTTTATGTCCTTTTGCCAAGGTGGATGTGTTAGTCTCAGGCCCTCCTGGCCACATTGCCCAAGTCACACAGGCTTCTGTATTATGTATTTAGATAAAATGTGTGAAAATATATTTGAAAAAAAATTTCATAAATGTGCATTGATTTTTGTACACATGGCACCTCTTTTTCATTTTTATTTTTATTTTTTTTTTTGGACGATGTTTTGCTCTGTTGCCCCAGCTGGAGTGCAGTGGCATGATATCTGCTCACTGCAAGCTCTGCCTCCCGGATTCACACCATTCTCCTGCCTCAGCCTCTCAGGTAGCTGGGACTACAGGTGCCTGCCACCACACCTGGCTAATTTTTTGTATTTTTAGTAGAGACGTGGTTTCACCATGTTAGCCAGGATGGTCTCGAACTCCTGACCTCGTGATCCACCTGCCTCGGCCTCCCAAAGTGTTGGGATTACGGGCGTGAGCCACCGTACCAGGCCCATGGCACCTCTCTTAATTTATAAATTGAACTGGATGTGAAGTAATAACGTCAGCTAGTTGAGATAAGAGGGTTACAGTTAGGCTGGGCGCAGTGGCTCACACCTGTAATCCTAGCACTTTGGGAGGCCTAGGCGGACTGATCACCAGGTCAGGAGATTGAGACCATCCTGGCTAACATCATGAAACCCCATCTCTACTAAAAAATACAAAAAATTAGCTGGGAATGGCCGGGCGTGGTGGCTCACACCTGTAATCCCAGCACTTTGGGAGGCCGAGGCAGGCGGATCATGAGGTCAGGAGATCAAGACCATCCTGGCTAACATGGTGAAACCCCATCTCTGCTAAAAATACAAAAAAAAAAAAAATTAGCCAGGTGTGGTGGCGGGCACCTGTAGTCCCAGCTACTCGGGAGGCTGAGGCAGGAGAATGGCGTGAACCCAGGAGGCGGAGCTTGCAATGAGCTGAGATTGCACCACTGCACTCCAGCCTGGGCGACCAAGCGAGACTCCATCTCAAAAAAAAAAATTAGCTGGGCGTGGTGGCGGGCACCTGTAGTCCCAGCTACTTGGGAGGCTGAGGCAGGATAATGGCATGAACTCAGGAGGCAAAGCTTGCAGTGAGCAGAGATTGTGCCACTGCACTCTGGCCTGGGCAACAGAGCAAGACTCGGTCTCAAAAAAAAGAAAAAGAGGGTTACAGATCATTGCACATGGAAAATATTCCCAGCAGTAACCACTTCCATTAATGTGATCTACAGCTTTTAAAAAGGAGCATCTCAGAATAAGATGGTGGTACAATTTGCTTATTGAGAAAGGAAAAAAAAAAACACATGAGTATATTACAAAGGGAAAAGAAGGAATGTGATTTCTCATGATTGAAAGCTTGATTTAGATTGCATACAGCTTTTGCTACCCAAGACCAAGAGGCTCTGGCAAGACGGTGGTTTTCCGAATGCCAGACTGAGGTGCCTTATGAAGGCAGCTGCCGATGGTTCCAGATGTAGAGAGATAGGTGATGCAGGAGGGAAAGCTGGATTGGAAAAGGGAGAGTTTTGTAGACGGGCTACGCTCATTGTGCCTTTGAAAGAGCAGAGCCGGCAGCCTCTAGTCATCATTTGGATATACAGGACTAGAGCATGAATCTGATGTAGAGCTACAGAATGAAGAGCAACAGCAGCTGTTTAAATACCAAGAAAGTGTGTAGAATGAAATTGGACAAGCCAAGCATGGTGGTTTCATGCCTTTAGTCCTAGCTACTTCGGAGGCTGAGGTGGGGGAATTACTTGAGCTCAGCAGTTTGAGTTCAGCCTGGGCCAGATGGTGAGACCCTGTATCTTAAGAAAAGAAAAAATAAGACCAGGTGCAGTATCTCATGCCTGTAATCCCAGCACTTTGGGAGGCCAAGTTGAGATGACTGCTCGAGTGTAGGACTTCAAGACCAGACTGGGCAATAAAGTGAGACCCATTTCTACCAAAAAAAAAATCAAGAAATTAGCTGGACATGGTGGCACATGCCTGTGGCCTCAGTTACATGGCATGGCAGGCTGAGGCAGGAAGATCACTTGAGCCCAGGAGGTGGAGGCTGCAGTGACCCATATTCATGCCACTGCACTCCAGCCTGGGCAACAGAGTGAGACCCTCTCTCAAAAACAGATAAAGTGGACAGAAAATAGGTCAGTAAGGACTAATCATTTAAGGGACAAGCCCCCAGAAGAGTGGCTACTAGAGTGGGAGGAGGAAAAGCAGAAGGAGAAAGAGTTGAAGATAGGCGAGGCTGTGGTCCCAGTGCTGAATTCTGCCAAGCAGTGACTTGATTCATGAACACTCACTGGATGCTGACTCTGTTTCTCTTCTGAGTGCTGGGGTAGAGGAGAGGAGAGGTGGAGCACAGTTCTTGCTTTTATGAGCTTATGTTCTAGGAAGTTCAAGTATTTTTTCAGGTAGTATGAAATAGCAGGAAGAGGAAGCAGGCTAAAGGGACACAGAGTGATTGGGGGCTATTTTAAGTAGAATGATAAGGAAGAGCCTGTCTAGAGAGCTATTTGAACAGTGACCTGACTGAAGGGACAACAGAAAGCAGTGCTGACATTACAGGTAGCAGGATGACTGCCAAGACAGAAACGCATTTCATATGTGTTCGAGGAACAAACAGCAAGGTGACCAGCATGGGGAGAGTGAAGAATGAGGGAAACCTTGAATGAGAATAAAGCAATTCCATCTTGGATGCTAATCTGCCATATTCTGATTAATCCCAGTTCCAAGACTTCATCTATGATTTCTATTTTATCTTTTTAAAAAATATATTTTTTATTTTTTGAGACCGAGTCTCACTCTGTCTCCCAGGTTGGACTGCAGTGGCACAATCTCAGCTCACTGCAAACTTCACCTCCTGGGCTCAAGCGATTCTCCTGCCTCAGCTTCCCGAGTAACTGGGATTACAGGCGCCTGCCACCACGCCTGGCTAATTTTTGTATTTTTAGTAGAGACGAGGTTTTACCGTGTTGGCCAGGCTGGTCTGGAACTCCTGACCTCAGGTGATCCGCCCACCTTGGCCTCCCAAAGAGCTGGGATTGCAGGCGTGAGCCACCGTGTCTGGCCATACACATCCCTGCTGAAGCCCGCATTACCCTTCCCCTATGCTATAGAAGCCCTGGGTCGGGGGGGTGGGGGTGATGGCACAGGGATCCACCATCTTATCTTGGTGCCATCCCTGACTTGCCTTCTGTTCATAAACGCCTATTAAATGTTTCTTTCTGAGAAACTGGATTTGTCAGCCTCTTTCTTTGGTATCTCAGGTTCCTTGGCCTTTGCGGGTAGGTTTATATAGACCTGCTCAGCACAGGACAGGCAGTTTCTCAAAAAATTGAAAATAGAATTACCAAATGATCCGGCAATATCACTTCTGGGTATATAGCCAAAATAATTGAAAGCAAGGTCTCATAGAAATATTTGTACACTGATATTTATAGCAGTGGTATTCACACTCGTCAAAAGATGGATGCAGCCGAATTGTCCATAGGCAGATGAATTGATAAAATGTGGTATATACATACAATAAAATATTCTTCAGCCTTAAAAAGGAAGGAAATTCTAACACATGCTACAACATGGATGAACATTGAGGACATTATGCTAAGTGAAATAAGCCAGTTAGAAAAAGACAAATACTGTGTTCCTTCACTTATGTGAAGCGTCCAGACTGAGTAAGCAAACTAATAGAAACAGAAGGTAGAACGGGGGTTGCCAGGGACATGGGGAAGGGAGAAAATGGGAAGTTGCTTAGTGGATATAGAGTTTTGGTTTTGTCAGATGAGAAAGTTCCGGAGATTGGTTGCATGGCAATGTGAATATACTCTACATTACCCAACCCAAGGGCTCTCCTTGACCCCTGTTCCAACTGCCACTTAGAAGTGGTTAAGGTAGTAAATTTTATGTATATTTTACCACAATTCAAAATAGAATTATTATTTTTTTATTATAATTTTTTGAGATCCCTCACTCTGCTGCCCAGGCTGGAGTGCAATGGCGCCGTCTCAGCTCACTGCAACCTCTGCCTTCTGGGTTCAAGTGATTCTCCTGCCTCAGCCTCCCAAGTAGCTGGAACTTACAGGCACATGCCACCATGCCCAACTAATTTTTGTATGTTTAGTAGAGACGGGGTTTCACCATGTTCGCCAGGCTGGTCTTGAACTCCTGACTTCAGGTGATCCGCCTGCCTTGGCCTCCCAAAGTGCTGGGATTACAGGTGTGAGCCACCATGCCCGGCTGTCAAAATAGGTGTTTTGTTGTTTTTTTTTTTTTTTGAGATGGAGGTTTGCTTTTGTTGGCCAGGCTGGAGTGCAATGGCAGGATCTCGGCTCACAGCAACCTCCACCTCCCGTGTTCAAGCAATTCTACTGCCTCAGCCTCCTGAGTAGCTGGGATTACAGGCATGCACCACCATGCCCAGCTAATTTTGTATTTTATTTTAGTATAGATGGGGTTTCTCCATGTTGGTCAGGCTGGTCTCCAACTCCTGACCTCAGGTGATCCACCCACCTTGGCCTCCCAAAGTGCTGGGATTACAGGTGTGAGCCATTGCGCCTGGCCTTTTTTTTTTTTTTTTTTTTTTTTTTTTTTTTTTTTTGTGATGGACTTTTGCTCTTGTTATCCAGGCTGGAGTGCAATGGCACGATCTCAGCTCACTGCAGCCTCTCCTCCCGGGTTCAAGCAATTCTCTTTCCTCAGCCTCCTGAGTAGCTGGGATTACAGGCATGCACCACCATGCCTGGCTAATTTTGTATTTTTAGTAGGTATGGGGTTTCTCCATGTTGATCAAGCTGGTTTTGAACTCCTGACCTCAGGTGATCCACCCACCTCGGCTTCCCAAAGTGCTAGGATTACAGGCGTGAGCCACTGTGCCTGGCCTGAAAAAAAATTTTAAAGTTTGAGAAAATACAAAATTTTCATAGTCTCCAAGTATTTCTCCTAAGATCTTTCCCCCTATGAGGGGGAAAGATAGTAACTTTACAATGGAGAAACCCAGCAGAAACCTGAACCAAATGAACAAGTTCAACATCATCAGTAAGAAGAACTATCAATGCCATAACTCTGATGGAATGCACTGGGAAGGATTCCACATCATTTTTGTGCTGTAATTGCCAAAAGTTCGTAACTTCAGTCCAATCATGGAAATACATCAGACAATCCCAAATCGAGGAACATTTCACAAATACTGATCAGTACTGGTTCAAGATGTCACGGTTATGAAAGATAAGGAAAGATTGAGGAACTGTTATTGCAGTCCTACAAAATGGCGAGAGACTAAGAAATAACTAAATGCAGCGTGATCCTGGGTGGAATTTGGGAACAGAAAAAGGACATTAGTGGAAAAAGTGGTGAAACTCCAATAAGGTCTTTTGTTTAGCGAATATGTTCATTTTAAATCAGTTAAATTATTTAAATATATTTAAACATTAGTTAAATGTATTTAATTAAATTAATAAAATTGGTTATTTTGTGAAATAATTTTAATATAGTTAAATATGAGAATGTGGATTTCCTGGTTCTGATCACCGTACTGTGGCTATCTAAGAGGTGCATGTTCAGGGAGGCTGGGGGAGGAATAAATGGACATTATACTATTAAGTTGGAAGAGAGAAACCTACCCCATCAGTCACAAAACCCTCACATTCATGGCAGTGTGTTGGACGTTCCAGTATGAATGGCATTTCCCAGATGTCAGCGCGAGGTCCCTGTGGAGGGAGTGGGGCTCCCTGGGAATCTAGTGGAGAGCATTCGGGGCTCCCTTCCTCAGGAGCCTGACCTTCCTGCACAGAAGCGTCAGCCTCACCTCTGTACCACTGCCCCTCTGCCTCTCAGAACCCACTCGCCTTCAGGAAGATTCTACTGCCAGCCTCCTTTCCCAGATACAGCCTCCAGGGACTCAGCCCTGCCTTCCCAAGTGTTCCCGCCTCTCTTGGGAAGGGGTGCTCTCAGATCCCACACCCCTGGACTTCCCCGGGCACCACCTGCTCCTTCTTCACTTCTCCAGCTCTGCGTTCTCACTCTGAGGGTCCTCTCCTGCTGGGAATGTGTGTTGCTGGCAATAGTGAAGATTCCCCCCTGGGTTGCCCCCCATGCCCTGTTCTTCTGCACTTCCCTGGCTTCCTGCGTTGGTTCTGCTGGTGTCTCCTGCTTTTGGGTTTACGTGGCTTCCCAGCTTCCTAATTTCTCTGAAGTTGAGTTTGATGTGTGTATTGATGATGGGCTTTTTCCTCCTCCTCCTCCTCCTCCTCCTCCTCTTCCTCCTCAGTCTTGTTGTTGCCCCATATAGTTTCCAGAAGGAGAAAAGGGACACTGTAAAATTAAGCTGCTGCAGGCTGGGCACAGTGGCTCATGCCTGTAATCCCAGCCCTTTGGGAGGCCGAGGCAGGTGGATCACCTGAGGTCAGGAGTTCAAGACCAGCCTGTTCAACATGGTGAAACCTCATCTGTACCAAAAATACAAAAATTAGCAAGGCATGGTGGCATGTGCCGGTAATCCCAGCTACTCGGGAGGCTGAGGCAGGAGGATCTCTTGAACGTGGGAGGCAGAAGTTGCAGTGAGCCGAGATCATGCTACTGCACTTCAGCCTGGGTAACAAGAGCAAAACTCCATCTCAAAATAATAATAAATAATAATAATAATAATAATAATGCCATGTTTCTATCAGACCCAGAAATCCCGCAGAGTGAGCTGGAATTCTCTGTTTCTCTGTTTCCCCTCCATACCCACTGGCTCCTCTCTGCCCACTCCCTCTTGGACTGCATCACCAGGGTGCCTCACTGTCTGGCCCTAGTGGAATTCACACAGTGGAGGACGTCATAGGAGGTGGGAGAGAGAGAGAGAGGAGAGGTGGTTATTCGCTCAGATTCTTCCTTGCTGGTTTGGCAGTGGCCACATCTTTCTACTGATGGCTGCAGCTCCTGATGATCCTCCTCTACAGCCACAGCTCTCTTTGGGATCTGTGGACACCTTTCCTGTCCCTTTAGACCCAGGGAGATAACAGCTCCCACTCTTGCTGGTCCAGGACATTCCTCATCTCTTATTGGTTCCCTTAACTCGGTCCACACTTCTGTGAACAGCCCCTTTCCTCAAATACCCATTCGAATATGTCCTCTGGCTTCCACCAGGAGCCTGACTGATACCCACAGGTGGGTGAATGCTGGCGTGCTGCTGGGCCCCTCTTCCTCTGGTGACTGGCCAGCCAAGTCTCCAGGAGTCTCGTTAGGGTGGGCAGGCGGTGGGCACAGCACAAACTGTGAGCTCAAATCCACAGAACAAAAGTGGGAGAAGACACTGGCAGGATGGACCGCCACAAAACTCTTGGCATTCGTGACGTCTGTCCTTTAAATCACGCAAGGCATCATCATGCTTCAGACATGAGACAGCCTAAGTATTTAAGTGTTTCAAATAAACAAATTGTTTTTCAGAATTGGTAATTGCTAAGTTGGCAAATTGCTATTGGAAACGTTGGCTGTCCTTGACTCAATGATTCAGCCAGCTAGTCCCTTGCCAAACTAGTATGTTGGGCAAATTCCACCTTGAGAATTTATCTGCTCCTGTCAAAGCCAGATTCTCCCTGCCTGAGGGGAGGCTGGACTTGACCTTCTGACTCAGGATATGCTGACTTGGGTCCCTAGGTCCAAGGGCGGCCCTCTTGGGCCCACTGTGGGCTGGACCTCTTCCATGATGGGGTGGTGGAGGGCAGGCCCCACCTGATTCACACTTGACCTCATCCAGGCAGGTGAAGTTCCCTGCAGGAGTCACCTGAGCCCAGCCCCTCAGACCAGGATCCATCATGTTTAGGAGGATTTGGGGCTATCTCATGTTCTTTGGCTAGAAAGGGGTCCCACTCTTAGGGGTCTGCCCTCTGTGGGGCACAGATGGCTTGCTGGGGCCCATGGACGGGGCTGGGTGAATGGGAATCTGGTCACAGCAGCAGCAGCTGGAAGGCCAAGAGGGAGGGCACCAGGGCCTGGGACCCATGTCTTGTCCTGGGCCTCCCCGGGCCTCTTGCCTTCTCCCCAGCAGGCATTTGGGATCTGTGTCTGGACCCAGCCTCGCCCAGAAGGCCATGGTGTGTTGTCATTAGAATCACAGTGCTCACACCAAGGCAGTGCATTAAATTAGCAGGGCAGGGTCTCATGGGCAAGGGACCATGTGGAGGGGGTGGGGGGAAGGGCAGTTGTCCCCAGAGGCCGTGGTGGGCCTGGCTCTGGGCTGGGCAGTGGGCCAGGGTCCTGCTGTGTGGATGAGCTCTGACAACAGGCTGTCTGGGTCTGGTGAGCTCCTGAAAGCGCGGACTGGTGGAGAGTACCCTAGGGTGGGAGCTCATGAGGAGGGGGTCTGTGGGGTCTGGAAGCCATTCTAGAGCAGGCAGATGACATTTATCAGGGGAGCAGGCATAGAAAGGACCCTTGTGCGAGTGGGGGGACACACAGCCTCAGAAGAAACAGGGAAGGGGCTTTGACAGGTCCAGGGAGAATCCCTGAGGTTTCCTAGAACAATTCCCACCAGCCATGTCCCAGGTGTCCCCCCATCCCCCAGGCCTCTGCAGTGCCAGCCCAATGCCCTGGGCAAAGCATCCTGGACTCTGGCTGTTACAAAAGGAGGACAGGGTCATCTGGACCCGCCTGAGCTCCAGGCCCCCGACTTTCACAGCCCCTTCTGGGTCCAGAAGTTCATACGTATATAAATGAAAAATGTGCAAGAATCATATTATTGTATTCTTTTTCATAAAGAGGCCCCTCTAAATTGTTGAAGCCCCGATCCACCCCTGCCCAAAGGAGACAGCAATGGCATGTGTGGGGCCACAGTCTTGAGACCCAGAGGTCCTGCTGCCCACGATACCCACTGTCCACCCTAGGGGGACTGGCCGTAGCCCTGGAGCCCGCAAACACCATGCAGGAATGCAAGAAGGTCTCAGCTCCCGAGTCCCAGGCTGGGAGGGCCCACAGTCCAGTAAACTAATCAGGCCCCGACACATCCAGGAGAGCAGCTCCAGGAGCCTGCATTGGGGAGAGAGCCTCAGACCCCTGCCACAGGCCTGCACCCCAGAAGTAGGAGCATGGGAAGACCTCTCCTTGGCTCCTGGCCAGCAGAAGTCACATTCCCCAGCCCTCTGGCTCCAAGGCAGCCTCACGTCCCAGTCACTCCTTGGCACACCCTACCAGTTGGTCAGAGCTCACTGCCAAAGGGCACCTCAATGATGAGTGGAGGGAACAGGTGTTTACCAGGAGCTTGCATGCTTTGTCTCAGGGATGATTAGGGACACAGCCAAGAAGACACGCTATGCCCATTTTACAGATGAGGAAACGGAGGCTCAGGTTGGGCTGGTGACTAAGGGAAGCAGCATGTGGCAGGTGGCTTGAGGCATGTCTGTCCATCATGAGTAACTAGGGAGCAGCCCTGCCACTCCTCATGCGATGCACCAGGAGCCAGGGAAGCTGCTTCCTAGGGGATTCTAGCTAAGGCCAGAAGCATCTCCCTGAGTGGTGGTGGAGGCCTCTGTCTACTCCTCCAGGACTGCCAGGGGATAGGAGGGCACTGCTGACCTCACAGAGCCTCTTGGGTGAGTGAGCATCAGCTGAGTGACACCAGGTGACTACGCTTCTGCCCAGTGCTGTGCCCCCCTCTGACTCGGGCAAGGCACCACCCTGAACGCCCCACCCTGTCCCATGGAGGCCGCAAACTGCTCTGCAGAGCCAGGGTCTCCAGGAATGGGGAGGGCAGTCACCCTCATTCCACTTGTGTTCATGACCCAAAGGACTGCCCAGGTCTCCAGGCCCATAGAACCCCCAAACCTCTTACTAGGCCACACTGGGGACCTTGAGCAGCAGGCTTGGAATCCTAGGCCTTGTCTCCAGGTACATATCAGTACCCAGGCTTGGGAAGCTTTGGTCTCAGGGGGGCTGGCACTCAGGCCCTCTGCCTCAAGGAAGAAGCATGTCCAGATCTCTACTGTCCAGCCCTGCTCCCTGCCCCTATCCTTCACGGGGTCCCTAGGACAGGGTTACAGAAGCCTCATGCTGTCAGGGGATGCTGCCACCCTAGTTCCAGGGTGGCTCCGCCCAGCCCCTTCCTGCTGCCGCCCTCACTGACTCACCTGTCCAGCCTCCTACTGGGCTGGGGTGAGGGCTTATTGCCCCAGAGCCTAGACAGACACCAGAGGCAGCTATAAAAGCATGTTGGGCCAGTCCTCAGCATCCTAGTTCGCCACTGTCTGCTGCCACACGATGCTGGGAGGCCTGGGGAAGCTGGCTGCCGAGGGCCTGGCCCACCGCACCGAGAAGGCCACCGAGGGAGCCAGTGAGGACCCGGGGCTCCTTTCTACCTGGGCTGGGGGGATCTGGGGCAGACTGGGTCTGTGGGAGGCGGATCTACGTAGGCAGGCGAGGACCTGCGGGGAGGCCTTGGCCCCTCAGGAACCCTGGTCTCCTGCTCTACCAAGTCAGCACGGAGTTGAGGGGTGCAGACCTGGGGAGGTCTCCTGGGGGCAGGGCATGAGTCCTGGTGCTGGGTGAACACTGGCAGCTTGGACCCTTCCCTCTGGAAATCTGGGGAGCCTTTCTTGTCAAAACAGCCTATTCTGAATAACCTATGCAGGAAAAGGAAGATGGATTTTTATTTTTACCATAACTTTAAAGCTTCAAAGATTTCTTAACAAGTCACCAAGTCTGTTCAAAGTCAAAAAGGGCATTTTCAATTTCATCCAAGTCCCCTAAAGCATGTTTATTTTTATTTGTATTTGTATTTGAAATGGAGTCTTGCTCTGGCACCCAGGCTGGAGTGTAGTGGTGCGATCTCGGCTCACTGTAACCTTTGCCTCCTGGGTTCAAAGTGATTCTCATGCCTCAGCCTCCTGAGTAGCTGGGATTACAGGCACCCACCACCACGCCCGACTAATTTTTGTATTTTTAGCAGAGACGGGGTTTCGCCATTTTGGCCAGGCTGGTCTCAAACTCCTGCCCTCAAGTGATCCATTCCTCTTGGCCTCCCAAAGTGCTGGGATTACAGGCGTGAACCACTGCACCTGGTCCCGAAGTGTATGTTGTATTCAGAGGTCAGCAGGTATGTGTGGGGAGGCCCAGCCAGGCCCCACTCATGGGTCATCGTGTGAAAAAGTCTTGCCTGAGTTTGTGTCCTCTTTCTAAATGGCAGCAGATGCGTATTTTGTTTTTGACTCTGCAGCTGGTGTGGACCACCTGCTTTAACCTTTCACTAGCCTCTGAGTTTTCTATGATTCCTGTTGGGAGAAAAGCTGAGTGTTGGGAGAAAAGCTGAGGCAGGGCTTGCTAGACTTGCTGGCTCCTTGCTTCTAGCACTGCCATTCTCTCAAGTAGCCATATGTTTCTCATTCACTTGATACACTGTTGCCTTTCAACCTCCACATCCTCACCACCTGTTTCTTTGTTAGATCACCAATAAATAGCGTGGGCTCCCAGAACTCGGGGCCTTCGCAGCCTCCACACTCGCGATAGCGCCCTGCTCCCATTTTCTCTCTCGAACTGTCTCTTTCTCATTCCTTTGACTCCGCTGGACTTGCCGCCCCCGTGACCTGGTGTTGGGTCTCATCATCCCAACAGATTCCCATTCTAAAGATGAGGGAACCAAGAGGTGGAAGGTAGAGTTAGAATAAGAACCATTTCTTCTGACTCTGAAATCCTTCAGTTCTAGCACACTACCACCCACACTTTAAAAAACTCTGAAGTAGGCAGAGAATTCCGTTTTGTTGGAGGAATTGCTTTGAGAGACCTGGTCTTAGTGGATGAGGCTTTGGAAACCAACCTGAGGCAGGCGCTAGCACATCCTGAGAGGGGTGTGACCTGGCACACAGGCCCAGCCTGGGTTTCATGTCTCAGCTGGCAAGACTGCCTGCTCATTGCCATTCCAGGCCGGGCAGGGCCAAGGGGCTTCAGGGACCCATGCCCTCATGGGGCTCACTGAGCTCGTCTCCCGGTAGCCAAGGCCCTGGCGTCTCCAAATGAAGCCAGCTGTGGGGGAAGGTCCTTCTCATGAGCCAGTCTGTCCTGGCTGGGGGTGGCATCCCAGAGCCCCATCTAGGATGCCCAGGGATGTATAGGTCTGTTGTGAGGATAAGCCAGCCCTGAGCCCTCACCCTGGACTGGGAGGGCAGTGGGCCTGCTCTGAGCCCTCACCCTGGACTGGGAGGGCAGCGGCTCTGCTCTGAACCCTCACCCTGGACTCAGGGGCAGCCGGCCTGCTCTGAGCCCTCACCCTGGACTTGTCTCCTCTGTTCAGTTCATGCCGTGGAGGAAGTGGTGAAGGAGGTGGTGGGACATGCCAAGGAGACTGGAGAGAAAGGTACAGCCGGCTGAGGTCGGGCAGGGAAGGAGGGAGGGAGGAAGGGAAGCTAGGTGCTGGGCCAACCTGTTCTTTGACTAACCAGGTCAAACTCTGCCCCTAATGTTGCAGCCTTTCAGAGCCTCTTGGCTGGGGCAGTTATCTATGCTCATCAGAGGCCACAGACCGTACTGCGTTAGGACACTGTCTAGATGGTTCTCTCTGTGGAATAAGAAGACAAAGTCACACAAGACTATGTGACAGCACACTGGGACAAAACATTTAACATGGCAGGGCACGGTGGCTCATGCCTGTAATCCCAGCACTTTGGGAGGCTGAGGAGGGCGGATCACGAGGTCAGGAGATCGAGACCATCCTGGCTAACACGGTGAAACCCCGTCTCTACTAAAAATACATAAAAATTAGCCGGGCATGGTGGTGGGTGCCTATAGTCCCAGCTACTTGGGAGGCTGAGGCAGGAGAATGGTGTGTACCTGGGAGGCAGAGCTTGCAGTGAGCCTAGATCATGCCACTGCACTCCAGCCTGGGCTACAGAGCGAAACTCGGTCTCAAAAAAATTGCTGGGGGCGGTGGCTCACGCCTGTAATCCCAGCACTTTGGGAGGCTGAGGTGGGCGGATCATGAGGTCAGGAGATCCAGACCACGGTGAAACCCCATCTCTACTAAAAATACAAAAAATTAGCTGGGCACGGTGGCGGGCACCTGTAGTCCTAGCTACTCGGGAGGCTGAGGCAGGAGAATGGCGTGAACCTGGAAGGTGGAGCTTGCAGTGAGCCGAGATCGCGCCACTGCACTCCAGCCTGGGCGACACTGTGATACTCTGTCTCAAAAAAAAAAAAAAAAAAAAAAAAAAAAATTAACATGTAAAATTCTATGTTAAATGTTAAATTGATGTGTGTGAGCTATGAGTAGTACTATGTACAAAGCATGTGTATATCTCATTCCTTTTCAACAAAATAGATTCCAGGTAGATGAAGGACTTACATTTACATAAATGAATTTATTAACTTACTAGGAGATAACCATCTTAGCTCAGGCTGCTATTATAAAATACCATAGGCCAGGTGCAGTGGCTCACGCCTGTAATCCTAGCCCTTCGGGAAGCCAAGGCGGGTGGGCCACCTGAGGTCAGGAGTTCGAGACCAGCCTGACCAATATGGTAAAACCCCATTGCTACTAAAAATACAAAGACCAGCTGGGCATGGTGGCACATGCCTGTAATCCCAGCTACTCAGGAGTCTGAGGCAGGAGACTCCCTTGAACCTGGGAGGCGGAGGTTGCAGTGAGCTGAGATTGCACCACTGCACTCCAGCCTGGGTGACAGAGCAAGACTCTGTCTCAAAAACAAAAACAAACCATAAACTGGGTGACTTAGAAACAACAGAAATTTATTTCTCACACTCCTGGAGGATGGGAAGTCCAAGATCAAGGAAGGCACTGGCACATTTGGCATCTGGTGAGGGAGTCTTTCTGGTTCATGGATGGGCCCAGCTCTGTCCTCACATGGTGGAAGGAGCTAGCTCTCTGTGGTCTCTTTTATGTGGGTGCTAATTTCAACCTCCCAAAGGCCCCACCCCTTAATATCATTACATTAAGACTGAGGATTTCAGCATATGAGTTTTGAGGGGGAAGACATCATAAACATTTAGACATAGTAATAACTTCAGAGACTTTGGCCTAATCTTGGAGAGGGGAGAATCTTCAGAACTATGACAAAAAAATCAGCGCCATAAAGGAAATATTAAGTAAATTTGACAATCCAAAACTGAAATTTTCTATAGCCAAAAAAAAAAAAACACTATAACCAAGCCAAAAGAAAAATTATACACTGATGAAAAATATTTGTCATAAAAATGATAATCCAATATAACAACCCAATATAAAAATGGTCAAAAGACATAAGCAGGCATTTTCCAGAAAAAAGGATAAGCAGGCAATGTACCCATGAGTAGATGCTCAGTCTCACTCACAGTTGAAGAAATGCAAGTTGTTGGGGAAATTAAAACCAAATTCAAATTCATTCTGCAGTAATCCTGCTGCCCTTGGTCCCATCGGGCCACTCCAGAGACTAATCCATTAAGATGGCCACATCCCACAGGCCACTCAAGGGGACACAAGTTCAGCAGGTGGATCACTAGGACATTCTTCCTCTTTCTTTCCAACAGCCATTGCTGAAGCCATAAAGAAAGCCCAGGAGTCAGGGGACAAAAAGATGAAGGAAATCACCGAGACAGTGACCAACACAGTCACAAATGCCATCACCCATGCAGCAGAAAGTCTGGACAAACTTGGACAGTGAGTGCACCTGCTACCACGGCCCTTCCCCAGTCTCAATAAAAAGCCATGACATGTGTACATTGAGCGCTGGATTTATTCCCATTTGGATGGAAACACTAGGCAAAGTATTTTCTTGTTGACATAACATATTTTACATATTTATGGAGTACATTTAAGT
Organism: Homo sapiens; assembly: GCF_000001405.40. Taxonomy (NCBI): domain Eukaryota; kingdom Metazoa; phylum Chordata; class Mammalia; order Primates; family Hominidae; genus Homo; species Homo sapiens. The sequence continues at coordinate 47,995,221 of NC_000010.11, read as the reverse complement.
ATTTATTACATGCACAGAATAGTGATCAATCAGGGTGTTTGGGGTGTCTATCACCTTGAATATTTGGTATTACTATGTGTTGGGTACATTTCAAGTCCCTTCTTCTAGCTACTTTGTTTGTTTGTTTTTGTTTTTGTTTTTGTTTTGAGACAGAGTCTTGCTCTGTCACCCAGGCTGGAGGGCAATGGTGTGATCTCGGCTCACTGCAACCTCTGCCTCCCAGGTTCAAGCAATTCTCCTGCCTCAGCCTCCCAAGTAGCTTGGACTACAAGCGCAGGCCACCATATCCGGCTAATTTTTATTATTATTTTTTTTATTGTTTTTATTTTTAGTAGAGATGGGGTTTCACCATGTTAGCCAGGCTGGTCTCGAACTCCTGACCTCAGGTGATCTGCCTGCCTGGGCCTCCCAAAATGCTGGGATTATAGGCATGGGATACTGTACCTAGCCTTCTAGCTACTTTGAAATATACAATACATTGCTGCTAACTATAGTCACCCTAGGTGAAGTATTTTTCAACAGAAACACTTTGCATGTCCCCCGTGTCTCCTCTGCTGAGGTGGACACTGGCACTGGGGCCCCTGCTGCTGGTTGGATAGGTCCTCATGATGAATCAGATACTTCTCTGTCATGCTAAGTAAGATCTTTCATGTCAGGAAGGGGCTCTTCTGGAAGAATAGTTAGTGTCTGTGCTACATTTCCTAAAAAACTGTTTCCCCAGAAACTATATACAACTTTCAGGTGCCTCAGTGCTTCAAGACATGCTAAGGGAGGACCCTCATTTGTCTTGCATGTTTTTGGGATTTTTCTTGAGATGTTCTTGCAGGACTCAGGGCAGATAACAGACCAGCTTGATGAAGAATTTAGCAAGGAAGGCCCCCACTGAGCTGCTTCCTGTTCTCGCAGAGATCAGATAAGCATTTCTGCTGGATGGTTACAGAATCTGGTCAAGGAGAGACTGAGTCACTGCTCATCATCCTAGAAGCTGCTGTTGATTTTTTTTTTTTTAAAGACGGAGTTTCACTCTGTTGCCCAGGCAGGAGTGCAGTAGCATGTTCTTGGCTCACTGTAACCTCTGCCTCCTGGGTTCAAACAATTCTCCTGCCTCAACCTCCCCAGTAGCTGGGACTACAGGTGCCCGCCACCACTCCTGGCTAATTTTTTGTATTTTTAGTAGAGATGGGGTTTCACCATGTTAGCCAAGATGGTCTCGATCTCCTGACCTCATGATCCACCTGTCTTGGCCTCCCAAAGTGCTGGGATTACAGGCGTGAGCCACCGCACCTGGCCCAGAATATTTATTTAGAGACTGATGTCAGGCCTAAGTGTTGATAGTGGGTAGTAGTGGGCAAGATGCCTGACCCTCTCTCTTTCTTCTCATGAGAGAGGGTGGAATGCCTTCCACCAAAGAAACGAGACCTCCCCATGACCAGCTGCTTCACTAACCAGACATCCTCCAGTGATGCCTCTGAATGGTCCCGAGGGGTTGTGGTGGCCGGGCAGAGCCAGGCAGGAGCCAGAGTCAGCCTGGGGGGTGATGGAGCTGAGGCCATCACCGGTCTGACAGTGGACCAGTATGGCATGCTGTATAAGGTGGCTGTGCCGCCTGCCACCTTCTCACCAACTGGCCTCCCATCTGTGGTGAATATGAGCCCCTTGCCCCCGGAAAAAAAAATAATATTGCATATGCAGTTGATTAAATGGCATATCATAGAGGTTAAAAGTCAGTATCATAGAGGTTAAACATATCTTTAAGTAGCATTTAACTTAACATTTTTTTAATTAAAAAAAAGAGAAGTAATTTGTAAAAATATTGCATCCCCTATTTCTCTTGCTGGAAGCTATTTGTTCCTAGCAGAAATGAGAAGAAAAGGTGTTTTGCTTAAAAATAAGTGAGTTGCTCACCGTACTTCTGGATCTCATCTAGAATTGGACTCACAGTTTGTGAACAGCCCAGGTATAGCCAATGTCTTAGCTTTGGAACGCTTGCCACTTTCCAGCTACAGCTGAACCTTATATCCTGGTTTGGTTCCTGATGACTTTCAAATTCTCCTGACCCAAACGCAAGCTCAGAAGCACAAGCACATTGTTGGTGGCAGTACAGACTGAAACACCCTCTTTGGATGGCAGTTCCTCTCACAGGACTTTATTCTCCAGGTATGCACAGGCACACACAGGTGCCCAAAGGATAAACACACAGATCTATTGTAGCATATTTGTATTACTGAAAGATTAGAAACATCCTAAAATGTTAACTAAATCGCTTGGATGAAAAGTTTTGCTCTGCTTATTAGGTTTGGCGTACAATATGGAGGTGACATCTGTTACTTCCAGTGTATTATAGATACTTTAGCTCCAAAAATGATACCTGTACCTAGATGGGCACCAAAAGGGAATGGTTAACAAATATTGCACATACAGGGGTATGGGGCGGCTCCGGGGCTGGGGATGGCGGCGGCCAGGTTTGTAGCGGCTCCAGGATGAGCGGGTGGATCCCTGGAAGCGTGGTGAAATGGGCTGGCTCCCGAGCCAGCCGGGAGGACGCTTACTACAGCTGCTCAGAAGCACCACTGGAAGCTCAGATGTAGGTGCCCCAGCCAGAAGCAGAGAGGGGTTCAGAGAAGCTACAGAGAAGCCCCTCCTGATGCCCCAGGGAGCAAGCCAACTCCTTCCAGGCTCCAGGAACACCACAAAGCAATATGAAACCTGTTCATGAGAGGAACCAGGAATGCCTTCCACCAAAGAAACGAGACCTCCCCATGACCAGCTGCTCCACTAACCACACATCCTCCAGTGATGCCTCTGAATGGTCCCGAGGGGTTGTGGTGGCCGGGCAGAGCCAGGCAGGAGCCAGAGTCAGCCTGGGGGGTGATGGAGCTGAGGCCATCACCGGTCTGACAGTGGACCAGCATGGCATGCTGTATAAGGTGGCTGTGCCGCCTGCCACCTTCTCACCAACTGGCCTCCCATCTGTGGTGAATATGAGCCCCTTGCCCCCGGAAAAAAAAATAATATTGCATATGCAGTTGATTAAATGGCATACTCCACGGCTATTAGGAATGATGAAAATGGGCTGGGTGCGGTGGCTCATGCCTGTAATCCCAGCACTTTGGTAGGCCAAGGTGGGCAGATCACCTGAGGTCGGGAGTTTGAGACCAGCCTAATCAACATGGAGCTGTGTTTACTGAGTGGGGCTTTCGCAGGCTGGAGCTAAGAATTTCCAGTATGCGTAACAGCCACAGCCCAAATACCTGCCAGAGAGTTGTGTAATTCCCCAGAGCAGGCCTGGGCAGTGTCTGGGTGGGGCCTGGGAGCCACAGGAGACGCCCAAAGCCAGGCAGAGCCCGGGGGCGAGGGGGCGGCAGGCAGGTGTAGCGCTGCCCTGGGCGGGCTTGCACCCCCACACCCAAGTGAGCGGCCTGCTCACTCCTCAGCTGCAGGAGCCAGACATGTGGAGTCCCAGCAGAGGCCAACCTGTGTCTCTTCATCTCCGTGAGAAAGGTGCCCCCGAAGTGAAAGAGATGGCCTGGTGGAAAGCCTGGGTAAGTGGGAGCTGGCAGGAGATTTGGGTTCCTGCATGGTGTTGGGTGCTGGTCACCAGGGAGTCCTGAGAAATGTAAAGTCGCCCTTGGCTGGGAGTGGCTCAGTCTACATTTGGCTGCCTCCTGGGCCAAGCATGGAGGGTGGGAAGGGGCCGAGAAGAAACAGCCCCAGGCCTAGAGTGCCCACGGCAGGGATGGGACCTGGGCCGGGAGACAGGCTGATGAAGAAATCTAGAAATGCAAGGGGGAAGCTGAGGTTTGAGAAAAGTCCAGGGGAGGGACCCTTGCAGGGGTGGGGCCACTCAAAGGAGGGGGTATCATGGTTGAGCCTTGTGTGTAAATGTGTATGGGGTGCACACACGTGTGCATTTGGGGAGAATCAGGCATACTGCTCCTGGCAGAGGGAACTGTGTGCAGAGGGTCAGAGGGCGGGGAGCTTGGCTTTGAGGGAAGCTGCTCAGCACAGCTCAAGGGTCCTGGTACCGGAGGAGATGGACCTGGGGAAGCAGGCAGGGCCAGGTCCTGAAAGGCCTTGCCTGGCAGGCTGAGGAGTTAGGCTTTACCTTAAGAGAAGTGGGAAGGCACTGAAGGGCTTTGAGCATGAGAGTAACCTGAACCTGCTGTTGGGGACCCATCAATGCCTTCACCTCAGGGATCAATGATGTTCATTTGTCAAGACTGGAGAGGGAAGAGGGGAAGCAGGAGGACCTGGCCTGCTAGAGCCTGGAGGAACCCGGGGCTCAGGGCAGCCCATGCCCAGCAGAACTGATGGGTTCTCGGGAGCTTTCTGTCTATGGTTGAGCCTGAGGCCATCGCTGTGCTAAGGAGTTGAATATCCAGAAGGGGACAGAGGTGACATCTCCCGGCTGCCGGCTCTGCACACCCTTTTCCTTTCCTCCCAGGCAGCCTCAGGATGTCAGGGCTGCACTTTCTGTTTTGCAGATGATGAAATGAAGGCTCAGAGACACTGAGTGACTTGCTAGGGTCCAATGGCCAGCAGGCTCCAGTCAGAGAGCAGTTGGGTCTCTCTGCCCAGCCCCAGGTTCTCTGTGAGCTTTTGTGGGATACCCAGGCTTGTCCAGCTTCAGGGAGTCTCTGGATCATAGATGTCGCAACCCAAGCAAGTGTCCTCAGGGTCAGACATGCTAGGTTCTGGACAGGTGGGACAAAGAGGAAGCCAGGCTGAGGTGGGGCAGCTGTCCTGGCCCCCAGGGAAGCAGACTTCTTCCAGGACAAGGGGCCATGGAGGCCTGCAGCTTCAACCAGACTGCTGGGAACCTGCCTTTGAGGAGGTGGACATGGCAGGGAGAGCCCAGTGCTGGGTGGTTTCCAAAGTCAGTTGCTGGCCAAGGTAGTCTGGCACTGGGCCTTGCACCCAGTGCAGCAGGACAAAGGGCTGTCCATGTAGGGACCTGCCAAATTGACAGGATCACTGTGACACTCACTGAGTCCCTACTCTGTGGCCGGACCCTTCTCTAAGCACCTCACATTCAATATCTCCCTTGAACCTCACAAGGAGTCTATGAAGTAGACACCAGTATCCTTATCCACAGATGAGGAAACTGAGGCACAAGTAGGCTAGGCAGGTGCCCGAACTCACTAGTAAGTGTGAGAGTCTAGGTGAGAATCTGAACAGCCTGACTCCAGGGCCAAAACCATACCCTGGTCGTCCATACCCCATGTGAGAGCTGGCTCGGGGTAGCAAGTTCACAGGTAGACCCCACCTGCAACAGCTGAGCTGCTAGCGAAGACCCAGTGTCCTCTAGGCACAAAGCTGGGCCAGGAACGGGATGGGAGGAGATGAGGGAGCCACTGGAGAGAGATCTGTCTGCAGGCAGGGCCCATCTGCACCTCTCTTTTTGGTGTTGCCTTTTCCTCTGTGTCTCTCATAGAGACAAACCCATCTCCCAGGCCTCTGGGCAGCCACATAGCAGGGGAAGGCCAAGGCGTGGCAGCTCCCCTGTGCCTGTCACAGAACAAGTTATATTAATAGATGTAGTCACAGGCTGGTCTGAGTCACCTTTTCAGTGAAAATGTGCCTGTCTGGACTAGCACGGCCCTGGGCAAGACCCTGCAGGAGCCTGAGGCTGACCCTTCCTTCTCAGCAGGAGGTCTGGAGCTCCAGGACTCCACACTGATAGCCAGGGCTCCGATTCCCAGAACACTTATTTTCTAAAACCTTAGAGTGGGAAGTGAGACAGAGGCTTCTCAATGCAGCAAAATCAGAACCAGCCCGGGAGCTGCTTACAAATGCTGCACCTGAGACCTACCGCACCCCTGCGGGACTGCATGCTCCTCAGGGATGCGGTTACACAGCCTGGGCACTCGCTGGTGCACCACAGCCCCCGAGTGCTGGGGCAGAGGGAAGCCGGCAGGCACTGAGAGCTGAGATGCCTCCCACATTCCCAGACGACCTGCGTTCCTGTGGGTGAAGCTTCCTTCAGTGGAACGTTCCAGGAACACTCATTGCCTGGGAAAGGTGGAGTCATCAGTAGGGCAGGGGAGGTAGATAGAGCTCAGCTTCTGAGTCAGGCTGGGGAGTCCCAACAGCATCGCTTACTAGCTGTGTAAGGGAGTCCAGATCCCTTTCTGTAAAGTGAGGCATCAGTACTTACCTAGCACAACTGTTGAGGAAGCCATGACATAAGCATTGCTTCTAAAGCACCTGGCCCAGGTCTGGCACACACAAGGGGCTTGAAGTGCTAACAGGAGTAATAGCAGAGCGTGACTCCACAAGCAAGGGATATCGTGTGTGTGGACACCGATGAGCACAACTTTATTTGTTTTTAAACATTCAGGGCCTAGTAGATAGCAGGCTTTCAACAAATATTTTTGAATAACAACAAACAAGAGTATGGACTTTGGGAACAGGAGAGCCTAGTAGCCAGCGAGCCTGAGCCAATCCTTGATGGCCTCCAATTCTGAGAAGACTCTCTGGGCCCCCTTAGGCTCCCTGTGGAAGAAAGCTTCCCCAGTCAATCCTAATAAAAATACTTCTGAGACAGATCTAACAGGACAAAGTGGAGTCTCTCCACTCTTTCAGTAGCTCCTTCACCCCAGGTGCTGTTTGGGGTTCTGACACTGCCATGGCATGGCCAGCAGGATGGCCCCTAGGGCTCCTGGGGCTGCTCTATAAGAGCTTCCCACCCCTGACCTGCAGTCCATGAGGGCAAGGCCAGATCCGGGCACATGCCCATCTGTGTTGTTCTCATGCTCTCAGGGGGTAGAGCTAGTGTGTTGGACTTGGCATGTTTAGGGTCACCTCCCTGAGGGTTGACAACCTGAGCAAAATCAGCATTCCCTTGGCAAGGAATAAAGGGGGAATGGATTTGTGGTCAGCAACCCACATCGTTGGTCAGCAACCCACCGCCAAGCATTCTGCCTGCAACAGGGTGGGGCTGGCCAGGGGAGGCTCCTCAGGGAAGGTGAAAGCTGTGCAGAGTTTTGCAGGATGACTCAGTGCTTATCAGGTAGACAGATAAGGAAGAACATTCCAGGGAGAGGGAGGAATGCTAACAACAGCAGGGGATCTGGTCTGTACTAGACATGCCAAAGGAATGGTGTGTCCATATCAACAGAGGAGGGAGAGACAGAAGAGAAAGAGCTTGTCAGGGCCTGAGTCAGAGCGGGCTCATGCTGTGGGGCTAAGAAGCTCAAACGATTTCCAGAGACAGTGGGGAAGCTTTACAGGGACAGGCAGGGGAGGATCTTAACCCGGCTTTCGTAAGCCTCTGGCTTGAGTATGGAAGGTGAGTCTGGGACAGGGAGCCCAGCGCCGAAGTGTTGCAACAGTATAGGGAGACATACAGACCAATTCCCTCCCACCTAACAGCTCTGTGCTTTGGGGTCCTGGGTTAGTTTCCTGGGAGAAGGCTGGCCTTGGCTACCTCTGTCCTTGACCAAGGACATCGTTTTAAATATTTGTGATGTGTCCTAGGCCACTGCATCTCTGTCCCTGTAGCGAAGAGAAGATACTGATTCCTAAGCTCCTACTCTGAGAACACAAATATCTGCAATACCTCGGTAAGCCCTAGGCCTGAGTGTGAGGTTGCAGGCACTTCCATGGCCCCATGCAGGTGTCCAAGTTCCCTCGTGGTATTTGGCCAAGGGGGGCCCTGTGTGATGCCCTAGCGCGGTGACTACCCGTGTTCCTGGCCCATGGGCATCTTCCACGGAATTCTGGGCTTAGCCTGGGGATTCATGCGGGCGCATCTCTGTGATCTGCTCTGGAGCAGGATGTACATCAGGTCTCTCAGACCTGAGTCCCTGGTGCCTGGCGCTCAGCCTTGACTGAAGTGCTCGGCCCACCCTGCTGGGCCAGCCAGCTCCTGCTCAGGGCCACAGCCCTGTAACCACGGCTTCCTCCCCAGGACTCAGGAATTCTCCCACTCCGGAATGCCTTGCTGCTGGGGTGACCAGGTCTTCACTTGTGAAACAGGAGTCGGCCACCTCAGCCCTGCGCCTGGCCTGGTGGAACATGGGTCACCGCCCCAACCTGGGGCAGCCGCCCCATCCCAACGCAGTTGCTGCCGCTCTCCATGCCTCCCTGTGCCCAGCTAACCGGGGGACTTGTCCCCTGGGAAAACCTGGGTACCCAGGCTGCCTTTGGTTTCAGCCCCTACTCCTCTTCCCGGGCTGCCTGTGCTCCCCGGACGGCCCCTTTCCCCGGGCTGTGTTCACATCAGCTGGGAAGGGTCCCTTGCAGACAGATCTTGGACGAGGTCGCGTCCCCCCTCGTGACCAGCAAACTCCTAAAAGCGGCCCTTGCCCCAGAGCCCCTGTAGCCTCCAACCGGCAGTCAGGAGGCAGCGCCGTCTCAGCGCCGCTTAGTGGCGCCAGGCGTGCCTGGAAATCCGCTTTCGCAGCGCCCCCTCGTAGCCGCCTCCGCCCGCAGAAAGGCGTTCCCTGGACAGAGAAGCGGGCGCGCGGGGGCGGGCGCGCGGGGCCTTGCCGGAGAACCTGACTCTCCGCAGCAGCAGTGGAAGCCGGAGTGACGCGTTGTGTTGAACACCAGTTTTCTGGAGCGCTGTGTGTTCTCAACAGCTGAGCAGTCTGTTTCTCCAATCAGGTTTCAAAGCCACTTCAACTGCACTGGCCCCTGTGGGTCACTGCTGCACCGCCCTGGCCCATGTGGGTCCCTGAGGAGCGACCTGCCGGGGCCACCTGGCTGGACGAAAAAGACACACCTTGGACTTAAGCCGTGAGAAAAAAACTTCATCAGTAAGAAACAAGTCAATAGACAAGTAAAAGACTAGGAGAAAATATGCATAAAACATAAAAAAGTGACTTGATTCCTGATTCTGGAGTATTTAAGAATTCCTATAACTCAACAAAAAGTTCAGTTTTTTAAAATGAGCAAAAGGCTTGGGTAAACTATTCACAAAGGAACGTAGACAAATGCCAGTACACACATGAGAAGCGCATACACATCCACAAACTTCAAACAAGCCCACCTCATGTATTTCTAGTGAGTAAGGAAAAGAACGCAAACACTTTTGAAAATTGTTTGGTTGTTTCTTGTAAATTTAAACAAATACCCTATTATATTATCCAGCGAGTCCATCCTTAGGTTTTTATCCAAGGATAAAGAGGTGAAAACTCATATCTAACAAATAGACTTCTGAAAAGATGAAAATAGAAGCTTTATTCATAAAAGACAAAAACTGGAAATAACCCAAATATTCATTCACAGGAGAATGAATAAACAGACTAGGTTGAATCCATACAATGGAATGGTAGCAGACAATAAAAAGAAAATGAACTATTGATGCCCCCTACTGCACAGCAGAAGCTCTGAATCGTGTTCCTGAATGAAAGAAGTCAGGTATGAAAGAATAAACATTGTATGATTCCATTTATATGAAAATGAATCTGTGATTTAAAAATCAGACTAGTATTAGGTTGGTGCGAAAGTAATTGCGTTTTTTGCCTTTTTTTTTTTTTAATAGTTGCTTTGGGGTTTATGGATGGAGTGGCATGGTAGAGGTTAGCTGAAGGGGGCATGAAATAACTTTTTGGGGGTGCTAGAGTGTTGTAAATCTTACAGTGGGGGAGGGACAGGAGTGCAGGCATTTGACAAAACACATTGAATTGTGAAATTTAAGATTTTTGAATTTCTTTGTATGTAAATTACCTGCCAATAAAAACATGACGAATAGAGCAGTTATGAGTATTTGTGTGTAGCTTTTTGTGCAAACTTAAATTATAATTTCTCTGATAAAAGCCCAGGAATGTGATTGTTGAGTAATATGGTAAGTGCATGTTTTTTGAGAAACTGTCAATCTATTTTTGGGAGTGGCTGTGTGTATCATGTTATATTCTCACAAGCAAGGGATGAGAAATTTGGTTTCTCTGCATCCTTGCTAGCATTTGGTTTTATCATTATATTTTTATTTCAACTGCTCAAATAAGTGTGCAGTGATTTCTCATGATCTCAATTTGCATTTCCCCAAAGGCTAATGATGTTAAGTATATTTCCACATGCTGATTTGACTCGGCCATGAAATGTCTCTTCATGTCTATTGCCCAATTTCTTATCAGATTTTTTTTTTTTACTGTTGAGTTTTGAGAGCTCTTTATGCATTGTAAATGTGAGTCCTTTGTCAGATACGCAGTTTGCAAATATTTTCTCCCCTCCATAGCTTGTCCTTTCATCATCTTAACAGAATATTTTGCAGAGGCAAAGTTTTTAATTTTGATGAAGTCCAATTTATCAATTCTTTCTTTAATGAATCGTACTTGGGTGCCATGCCTATGAACTCATCCTCAACTCCTAGGTCCAGATGATTTTCTCCTGTGTCTTCCTATCATAGCCAGAAACTAGAAAAGAACCAAAATGTCCCTCACTAAGTGAATGCTTAAACTAAGTGACACATCTATGCCAATATTCAGCAATAAAAAGAAACAAATTATTCATGCAAATAACTAAATGGATGGATCTCAAGAGCATTAGGCTAAGTGAAAAAAACCAATCTCAAAAAGTCACATACTGTACGATTTCACTTGTATAACATTCTTCCAGGGGCAAAATTATAAACAGTGAAAACAGATTAGTGGTTGGCAGGCGTTAGAGGCGGTGGTGGGGAAGTGTGACTACAAAGAGGTAGCAGGAGAGATCTTGGGATGATGGGATAGTTTTGTGTCTTGGTGGTTACAGGAATCTACACATGTGATACAATGTAATAGAAGAACACACATTGTGCTAATGTCAGTTTCTTTGTTTTGATATTGTTTTGTAGAATGTAAAACGTAAACAGTGGAGAAACTGGGTGAAGGATATTGGGACCCCTTCACAAATTCTTGTCAATCTATGATTATTTGAAAATTTAAAAGTCTAAACATGCATAAAATAAAAACCTAAAAGGCAAAAAAGTAATGCACGCACTTGATAAAAATCAAGTAGTACAAAAGAGTAAATGGTGAAAATAAATCTCTGCACCACTCTAGAGACCCCAGCCAAAGTCCTCTCCAAACTCTCTCACAGTTATTAAGTTTCTTGTATATGCTTCTAGAAATTCATCTTGCATATGCTTCTAGAAAATCAAGTAGTACAAAAGAGTAAGTGGTGAAAATAAATCTCTGCACCACTCCAGAACCCCCAGCCAAAGTCCTCTCCAAACTCTCTCACGATTGTTAAGTTTCCTGTATATGCTTCTAGAAATTCTCTAGGAATACGCAAAAATATATGTACTTTCCCTACTTCTCTAGCTTTTGTCTAATGCTAGTCTTCTTTCTATTTTTAATTATATGTATTTAATATATCTTTAGGAAAAATTAATACTTTTTAACAGCAGTGTAAGATTTCATTGTGAATGTACCATAATTTATTTAACCAATCTCTACTCATTTAATCTGTTTTTGGTTGTTTAGGCTGGTTTCGGTAGCTTGTTATTGGAAGTTATTGCAATAAACATTCTTATATTACTTTGTATCATCATAGGATAGACTCCTAAAATATTGTGTTTAGATCAAAGGGCATGTGGAATTGTACTTAAGATAGATTTTGTCAAGAAGTCCCCATTCTCATCAGTACAGAAGGAAAATACCAATTTCCTAAACCTCTTACTAAGACAGTACATCTTCAAAATTTGATCCTCACTCATCTGGTGGACAAAGTATAGTAATTCAGTGTTTTAGTTTGACTTCCCATGATGACAAGTGAAGCTTTAAACATGATGCTTTTTATATATTTAAAGGCCTTTTGTGTCATTTTCCTGTGAACTGTTGGCTCAGGTCCGTCCTTCAGTGGAGTTTAGTGAATCTGCCTCATTTCCCTAATCAATTCTGTCTCTTACCACTGGAAAGGAATACCACAGTTGTTTACCCATTCGTTGACGGACATTTGGATTGTTTCTACTTTTCGGGTGTTATGAATAATGCTGCTTTGAAAACACTTGTGCAAGATATTGTGTGGATATAGGTTTTCAGTTCTCTTGGGTATGTATCTAGGAGTGGAATTCCTTGGTCATATGATAATACTACACCCAACTTTTTGAGGAACTACCAAACTGTTTTCCAAAGTGACAGCACCATCTTATGTTCACACCAGCAATGAATGGGGTTTTCAATTTCTCTGCATCTTCACCAACACTTCTTATTGCCTGTCTTTTTCTATGAAAGCCATCCTAATGGGTGTGTAGTTGTATCTTATTGCGGTTCTATTTGCGCTTTCCTAATGACTAATAATGTCAAGCATCTTTTCAGGTGCTTTTTGATCATGAGTATATCTTCTTTGGACAAATATTTATTCAAATCATTTGCCCATGTTTTAATTAGGTTATTGTCTTTTATTGCTGAATTGTTAGAGTTCTTCATATATTCTGGATACAAGTGGCTTATCAAATTTTATATATATATATATATATATATATATATATATGATTTGCAAATACTTCTTCCCATTCTGTGGGTTGCTTTTTGACTTTCTTGATGGTGTCCTTTGAAGCACAAAAGCTGTCAATTTTGATAATGCCCCGCTTATTTTTTTTTGTTTGGTCACTTCTGCTTTTGGTATTATATCTAATAATCCTTTTACCAATCCAAGGTCATGAACATTTGCCTCTATGGTTTTATAGTTTTAGCTCTTACATTTAGAACTTTGGTCCATTTTGAGTTAAGTTTTGTACATGATGTAAGGTAAGTGTCCAGCTTCATTCCTTCACATGTGGAAATCCGGTTGTCCCAGCATCATTTGTTAAGGCTTTTTTTTAATCCTCTTGAATTGTCTTGACACCTTTGTCAAAAATCAGTTAACCATAAATGTGAAGGTTTAATATTGGATTTTCAATTCTATTACATTTCTAGTATTGGGCTATCTTGATTCCTAGACGTTGGTAGTAAGTTTGGTTTTCTTTGGGGTTTGGGGGGGTTGTTTTGTTTCATTTTGTTTTTGAGATAGGGTCTTGTTCTGTTGCCCAGGCTGGAGTGCAGTGCCTTGATCATAGGTCACTGCATCATAGACCTCTTGGGCTCAAGTGATCCTCCCACCTCGGCCTCCCAAGTTGCTGGGACTACAGGCACACACCACCACACCCAGCTAATCTTTTTTTATTTTTTGTAGAGATGGGGTCTCATTATGTTGCCCAGGTTAATCTCAAACTCTGGGCTCAAGCAATCCTCCCAACTTAGCCTCCCAAAGTGCTGGCATTACAGGTGTGAGCCACTGCACCCAACCTGTATTAAGTTTTTAAATCAGGAAGTGTAGTCCTCTCTCTTTCAAGATCATGTTGGCTATTCTGGGTCTCTTGCATCTGCATGTGAACTTCTGAGAAAAAGGCACACAATCTTTCAATCAAGATTGCATTGAATCTGTAGACCAATTTGGGAAACATTGACATCTTAACAATATTAAGTCTTCCAAATCCATGAACATAGGATGTTTTTTCATTTATTTAGGTCTTCTTTAATTTCCTTCAGTGGTGTTTTATTGTTTTCAGTACGTACAAGTCTTAGACTTATTTGTTGAATTTATTCATAAGCCTTTTATTTTGTCTGATGCCATTGTAAATGGAATTCTGTTCTTAATCTTATATTCAGATTATTCATTGCTAGTGTGTAGAAATACAATTGTTTTTCATATTGTTCTTGTATCTGCAATCTTGCTGAACTCATTTATTAGTCGTAATAGTTATTTTGTGAATTCCTTAGATTATGTCATCTGTAAATATAGTTTACATCTTTCTTTTCAATTTGGATGCTATTTTTTAAATTTACATACTTATTTGCATAATTGCCCTAGCTCAGATCTCTAATACAATGTTGAATAGAAGTGGTGAGCATGGACTTCCTTTCCTTCTTACTGGTCTTAGAAGGAAAGTATCCACTCTTTCACCCTTTGGGATGATGTCAGTTGTGGTTTTTCATAGATGTTCTTTATTAGATTTCATAAATTCTCCTCTATTTCTAGTTTTATGAGTGTTTTATCATGAAAGGATATTGATTTTGTCAAATGTTTTTTCTGCATCTATTGAGATTAGGTGGATTTTGTCCTTCATTTTATTAATGTGGTGTATTAATTAGATTTATTTTATTATGTTAAACCAACTTTGCATTCCTGAAATAAATGTCACTTGATTGTGATACATAATCATTTTTATATGTTTCTGGGTTTAGTGTGCTAGTATTTTGTTGATAATTTTTGTATTAATATTCATGAAAGATATTGCTGTGTTCTCTTAGAATGTCTTTTGTTTTGGTATCATGAGAATAATGACATCATAGAATGAGTTGAAGTTTGTTTCTTCTATTTTTGGAAAAGATTGTGAAGAATTGACAATAATCTTTTTTAAATGTTTGGGAAAACTAATCAGCGAAACCATTTGGTACTGAGCTTTTTTGTGCATGGTGAGTTTCTTAATTACTAATTTAATCCCTTTACTTACTAAGGTCTATTGAAATTTTCTATTTGTTCTTGATTCAGTTTTTGTAGTTCCTGTCTTTCTAGGAATTTTTCCATTTCACCTAAGTTAAAATTTTGCTGTCTTACAATTGTTTATAGTATTCCTTTATAATCCTTTTATTTCTATGAGGTGGTAGTGGTGTGCCCTATTTCATTCTCTAAACATTATTAATTTAATAATTTAATTCCCTATACATTAATAATTTAATAATTTAATGTATAGGGAATGAAATAGGGCACATAACTTTTTTCTTCTCAGTCAAGCTAAAGGTTTACTAATTTTATTGCTCTTTTCAGTGAAGCAATTACTCTTGTTTTTTCCCTTAGTGTTTTTTCTATTCCGTTTTATTTATTTCCACTACAATCTTTATTATTTTCTTCTTTCTGCTTGCTTTGGGCTTAGTTTGCGCTTCCTTTTCTACTTTCTTAAGGTGGAAGTCTGGGTTATCGAGATCTTTCTTCTTTTTAATATAGGCATTTACAGCTATAAAAGTCTCCCTAAGTATTGCTTTGACTGCATCCCATACACTTTGATATGTTGTGATTTTATTTTCATTCATTTCAAATAATTTTCTAATTTTCATTGTGATTTCTTCTTTGACCCATTGATTATTTTGGAGTGTGTCATTTAATTTCTACATATTTGTGGATGTCCGAAATTTCTTTCTGTTTTTGGTTTTGAATTTCACTCTGCTATTGTTAGAGAACATATTCTATATGATTTCAATTATTTTAAATTTACTGCATTTTGTTTTATGGATGAATATACATGTATGTGTTTTCTATTGCTGCCATAACAAATTACCACAAATTTGCACCTAACACAAATTTATTATCTTGTGGTTCTGAAGATCAGAAGTCTGACATGTCTTACTGGGCTAAAAATAGGAATCTGTGTGGTTGTATTCCTTTGTGGAAATTCTCGGAGAGTTCCCTTGTTCATTCGAGTTGTTGGCAGAATTCAGTTCCTGCAAGTTGTAGGACTGAGATTCCCACTTCCTTGCTGGCTGTCAGCTGAACTGTTCCCAGCTTCTAGAAGCTACCCACATTCCCTTATTAATAGTCCCCTTCCTCCATCCTCAAAGGCAGCAATGGTGGATCAAGTCCATCAGTTTAGTAGTCACTTAAACCTTTCTCACACCTCAATTGTCTCCTCCTCCTTCCATTTCATCTCCCTACCATGGTTAGGAAAGTGTCTCCACTTTTAAGAACTCATGTATTTTGATTGGGCCCACCCAAACAATCCAGGGTAATCTCTGCATCTCAAGGTTTATACCCTTAATCATATCTGCAAAGCCCCTTTTGTCATGTAATGTAACGTGGTTCCAGGGATTAGGGCATGGATATCTTTGGGGGCCACTATTCTTCTCATGACAAGATTTATTCTTGAGAACATTCCATATACACATATAAAGAATGTCTATTCTGTTGGTGGTGGTGGAGTGTTCTGTGGGTAACTACCAGCTCTAGTGGGTTTACTGTTTTTTTCAGATCTTCTATATCCTTGTGGATCTTCTGCCTAGTTGTTCTATCCATTGTTGAAAGTGGAGTAATGATGTTTCCAACTATAATTGTTGAATTTTCTATTTCTCACTTCAGTTTTTGCTTCATGTATTTGGATCTCTGCTATTAAGTGCATATATATTCTTAATTGCCATGTCTTCTTAATAGATTGAAACTTTTACAATTATAAAATGTTTTTCTTTGTCTCTTGTAATAATTTTTGTCTTAAGAGTCTATTTGGTCTACTGTTAGTATAACTAGCCACTCCAGCTCCCCTTTGGTTACTACTTTCATGGATTATCTTTTTCCATCCTATTACTTTCAACCTATTTGTGTCTTTGAATGTAAAGTATGTCTCTTATAGATAACAGTTGATTCATTTTTTAAAATCACAACCTCTGCATTTTGATTGGTATGTTTACTCTATTTACATTTAATATGATTTACTGAAAAGATAGGCTCTACACCTTCCATTTTGCTATTTTTATATGTCCTACATCTTTTTTGTTTTTCTTTTCCCTCATTACTGTCTTCTTTTGAATTCAATTGATATTTTCTAGCATATCATTTTAATTCTTTTGTTTGTTTTACCATATATTTTTAGTTATTTTCTTATTCTTGCCCTGGGGATTATAACATTTTATCATAAAACAATCTAATCCATATCAATCCAACTTAATTTCAACAATATATTTAAAGATTGCTTCAATATAGGTCCATTTCCTGCCCCCTTCCTTTGTGTTAATATTATCGTACAAATTACATCTTTATACATTATAAGCCCAACAACCCAGTTTTATAATTACTCATTTATGTAGCTATTTTTAAATCAGATAGGATAAGAAAAGAATTACAATTAAAAATACATTATACTGTCTTTTTAATTATGTAATTACCCTGCAGTGCTCTTTATTTCTTTGTGTGGATGAAGTTACCATCTAGTGTCCTTTCATTTCAGCCTGAGAGACTCCTTTTAGTATTTCTTGTAGGGAAGATCTACTCATGATGAACTCTCTCATTTTTCATTTATCTGGACATTTCTTCTTTTTTTTCAAAGATACCTTTGCTAGATATAGAATTCTTGGTTGACAGTCATTTTCTTACAATACTTTTAATATGTTATCCCATTGCCTTCTTGCCTGAATGGTTTTGATAAGAAGTCAGTTGTTAATCTTATTGAGGAATTTGAAGCTAGAGTGTATATGCTGAGTTATTTTTCTTTTGTAGCTTTCGAGATTCTCTTTTTGTCATTGGCTTTTGATAGTTTGACTCTGATGTATCTAGGTATGGATTTCTTTGTTTTTATACCACTTGTAGTTCGTTGAATTTCTTGAGCATGTAAATTAATGTTCTTCATCAAATTTGGGAAGTTTATGGCAATTATTTCTTCAAATATTCTTTCTGCCCCTTTATCTCCTCTTCTTTTGGGATTCTCATTATATACATATTGGTATGCTCTCTGAGGCTCTGTTCATTTTTCTTCATTCTTTTGACTTTCTGTTCCCTGGATTGTATAATCTCAATTGACCCATATTCAACTTACTGAATCTTTTTTCTGCCTGCTCAAATTGGCTGTTAAGCCCCTCTGGTTAATAATTTTTTATTTCAGTTGCACTTTCAACCCAGAATTTTATTTTTTTCCCTTTTTTATATAATTTTCTATCTCTTTATTGATATGCTGTATTTGGTAAGACATCATTGTCATGCTTTTTAACATTCTTTAAACATGTTTTCCTTTAGTTGTTTAAACATGTTTTTAAGACGTGTTCTAAAATCTTTGATAGTAAGTCCAATGTCTGGGCTTCCTCAAGAAAAAGTTTCTAATGGCAGCTTTTTCCCTGTGAATAGGTCACACATTTTGTTTCTTTGTATTTCTCATATTTTTTTCTTAAAAACTGAATGTTTTAAATAAAATAATGTGGCATCTCCAAAAATCAGACCTCACCCCTCTTCACAATTTGTTGTTGCTTCTGTTTGTTGTTGTTGCCGATGCTGCTGTTTCTCTGTTTCGTGAATTTCCTGGACTAAGTTTTAATGTATACTTTTTGTCATGTGTAGCCACCGAAGTCTTTCCTCAGTTTAGTTGTCCATTAATTTTTGGACAGAGATTTCTTTACATTCCTTGCACAACTAAATCTACCTACCTTTGCTGGGAAGCTTTGTTTGTGTTGAGCCATGCCTTCGATGCTTCAGCAAGCAGCTGACAACTCTGCCTCAGAGTTTACTTCCTGCTTGCACAGAGCCTCAAAGCCAAACAAAAGTTAAGCTCTAGTTAGATCTGTCTTGGACATGTGTACAACCCTGCACGTGCACATGGCCTTCTAGGTTCTTAAGAATATGTCAGAGTTTTTCCAAAGCCTCTATGAATACCTCATTCCCCAGTTTTTCCTTGTAACTGTTTTGGTCAGCCTCTTATTAGCCCCAACTGGTACTGCCATCTCAGGCAGTTGCAATGTCAAACAATTTTTGCTGATTGTTTTTGACAGATTCCCTCAGGATAGGGCTGTTCACACAGACTAAGCTCCAAACCATGTTAAGCAAAGACAATCCCTGGGAATGTGCCTTTTCCAGGGAGCTGTCAGACAGATCAAATAGTAACAACTTTCTGAGGATGGGATTTTTGGAGAGCTCTAAACCTATTCTGTCCTCCCCAGTGGCTACCAGGCTGCTGGTTTTCACAGCTGTCATGGTTGTGAGAATGTTAATTGTGTGTGTGTGTGTGTGTGTGTGTGTGTAAAGACAGAGGTTGTCTCTGTGTTGTCCAGACTGGTCTCAAACTCATGGACTTAAGCAATCCTCCCATCTCAGCCTCCCAAAGTGCTAGGATTATAGGAGTGAGCCACCATGCCTAGCTGAGAACATTTATGTTCAAGTCTATCATAGAGCTTGGAAAAGAAGACTACGAATAAGGCAAATTAAAACACCACAAAATTTGCTATTCTTACTGAGATTCAGCTGTGTTTCTTGAATAAATCTAACTTGGATTGCTGAAAGCCTTTGGTTAATTTCCAGGACTCTGAAAATGTTAATTTTGACATTTTTGCCAGTGCTCTCATTGTTGTTAAGGAAGGATTTTCAGAAGTCCTTATTCTGACATTCTGCAAGTGTTTCTCTTGGTTTGAGTTTTCATGTGATTGTTTGGGGTAGTTGTTTTTATTTTTGTTGTTGTCTTGATTGGTTTTTGGAGAGATGGTTTTCTACTGGATACTCCTAGGATTCTTTTCTTTGAAGGCAAACATTCATTTTGTTAGGATCTGTCATCTCAGCATTGACTTCTCTAAATCAATTTACCCTTCAGTCAGAAAATTCAAGTCTTCCTTTATTTCAGGAAAGTTGTTCTGAATATTGAGTCTAAGTTTTTTTCTATTCCATAGTTCAGGTTTCCTAACCAGGGGACAGAATGTCCTCCCCTGCACTGAATGGCCTCTGCCTTTGTTTACTGAAGACTGCCTGAGTATCACTTGCAATTTAAAACAGGGCCTGTCTGTAGAGCCTTCTCTGTACCCAGGACAGTTTAGAGGCGTGTCTGTGTTTCCACACCAACAGTAATTATAGTAATAATGATTACTACAAGGTGAGCATCTAATGCTTTGAAATCTGATATCATTTAATGACCCCAGCTACCCTGTGAGGTGGGTATTATCTTCATTTGCAGATGAAGATACTGCAGCTTAGTCAGCAGACTAAGTCACCTAAATGCTCTGTCAGAAGCGGAATTTGTACTCAGGAATGGCCAACTGCAAAGTCCATGTGCTTGAACAGTATGGCATACTGATACATGCACCTGCCATGACCAGAACACAATACAGTGATCTGGCAGCACTTCGTGGCTCACCATCTCTGCTATACTGATAACAACTTGAGGGCTGGACCTACTTATCTTATTCAACAAGGACCCTCTCAGAGGTTAGGGTTGCCCAGTGCAAAGATAGCAAGTCATGTGACACATGGGCCACCTCACCCCTCCTGCAGCCATTGATAACTTTCTTCTTTGAACATGGCATTCTTTCGCTCTAAGCCCAGTTAAGAATTCAGAATCCTTCTAGGCCCAGTTTTTAAAGCAGCCACCACCAATCTATTGGTGCTGACATGAATTCAAAAGATACTTTCTATCCCTTATCTAAATAGTTCATAAGATGATGAGGCTGAACTATGGAACAAATGTAGTCCATCAGAGATTTCTAGAAAAAAAAAACAACTCTCAATAGTCCTAGAAGTTTGGAAATGAGTATTAATCCCAGGATAATCCAGACACATCTTGTCTTATGGCCTGATGCCAAGTGATGTGGCCCTTATCTAATAGCACATTTGCATTTTAAATGAGTAAAGCTGGTTAAACCTCTTTTTCTAATTTCAGCTATTATTTTATCTACAAGGGCCTCATAGACATTCACTCCACCCAACAACCACAGAATATACATTCTTCCTATCTGTACACAGAACATATTCTCAGATCAACCATATGCTGAGTCATAAAGCAAGTCTCAATAAATTTTAAAAAATTGAAATTATACCAAACACACTCTTGGACCACAGTGCGATAAAAATAGAAACTAATATCAAGAAGATCTCTCAAAACTACACAAATACATGGATATTAAACAACTTTTTCCTGATTAACTCCTAGGTGAAAATCAAAATTAAGGCAGAAATAAAAAAATCTTTGAAAGTAATGAAAATGGAGATACAACTTAACAAAGTCTCTGGGATACAGCCAAAGCAGTGTTAAGAGGAAAGTTTATAACGTTAAATGCCTTCACCAAGAAGTTAAAACAATCTCAAATTAACAGTCTAAGTTTGCACCTAGAAGAACTAGAGAAAAAGAGCAAACCAACCCCAAAGCTAGCAGAAGAAAATAAATAACTAAAATTAAAGAAGAACTTAATGAAATTGAGATGCAAAAATCCATACAAAAGATAAATGAAACCAAAAGTTGATTTTCAAAAAAATAAACAAGACTGAGAGACCACTAGCTAGATTAACAAAGAAAAAAGAATTTCCAAATAAGTACTGTCAGAAATGACAAAGATATTACAATTCATCTTCATTTGCAGATGAAGATACTGCAGCTTAGTCAGCAGACTAAGTCACCTAAATGCTCTGCCAGAAGCAGAATTTGTACTCAGGAATGTCCAACTGCAAAGTCCATGTGCTTGAACAGTATGGCATACTGATACATGCAGAAATACAAAAGATCCTCAGAAAATACTGTGAGTAATTCTATGCACACAAATTAGAAAATCTAGAGGAAATGGATAAATTCCTGGGAACATACAATCTCCCAAGATTGAATCAGGAAGAGACTGATACCCTGACTAGACCAATATCAAGCTCTGAAATTAAACCAATAATAAAAAACCTACCAACGACAACAACAAAAAGCCCTGGACTAGATGGATTCACAGCTAAATTCTATCAGACATACAAAGAACTGGTACCAATCCTACTGATTAAACCTCTTTAGGTTCTGCTTTTTGTATTGTTAAAATCTTCATTTTTGGTTTTCTAACGGTCTCTGATTCAAACATTCGTTACCAATAAACAATCCAGGTAGCCTCACCCTGAGTGGCAGCCTGGCTGGGTGAGTTCTAAAAATGCCCAAGACCTCCAAGACTAGGTGAGATCTGAAGTAATGAAATGCCTCCATTCACTAAAGGCCTGAAATTGTCCTGACTGCCTCAGTCCCACGGACCAAGAAGAGCCTTTCAAGCTGTGATCCCAATACTTGTGGCTGCTGTGAGAATAAGGAAAGCAGCCTAGGCCTCCAGTGGAAGGATCAGATGTTTGCCCTTCATACCTCAGAGAGCCTTCATCCAAGTAAGATGGGTGGTGAGGAGCTGTGGATGACAGCATGAAGGATGAGGACTGATGCAGCAGCCATAATTAGATTATAGGTTTCCATGGGATGTGCCATGACTGCTTACAAATGGGGCCCAGCCATGGAATTGAGTTATCAACTAAGCTGATTCCTGAGGCACAGATCATCCTGTCCTCCACAACATGATTAAAGACTACATGATGCTCAGGAAGACCTCTGCAGCTGTGTGCTTGGAAGAGTGTGTTTTTCCTGCTAAAGCATAAGAAAAAAGAGACCAGCAATTATTATCTTAGGCCTTGCAGCATCCTTTCTGGTCCCACAAGTTTGAGAAGGCAGGTGTGTGTGTGTGTGTGTGCATTTGTGTTTGTGTGTGTGTGCACGTCCACATGCATGCATGATCCTACAATGGAAGTGAGTACGCAAAAGTTGATTGCCTATATACCCTCCCCACAACCAGGTGTATAAGAGTGTTCTTTGAGAATGAGAAAGCAGGAAGGAGCACATCCCACACCTTAGCATTCATGTAGTCAATTAGGAACTCCTGAGCTCCCATGACATGCTAGACCCTGGGCTCAGCACTGGATCTCAGACATGTCCCAAACTGGGCGATGGAAGTGGTGGGAAGCAACCACTCATGGACAGCTTCCCGTGTGCCAGGAGTGTGCCAGCATTGACATTATGCCGTCTCTCACTCCTGCCCTCCATCACATTAGTGATTCTGCCATGAGTGACTCGTTCCTTTGGGTTCCTGTTAAGTTCCTGTGGAGGGGTCTAGCCACAGCAGGGGAAAGAGCACCGAGGGAGCTTTTAGGAAACTCTGCTCCAGGTCAGCTGTGTGATGCTGAAAAAATGGCTCACCCTCTCTGGACCTGTTTCCTCTTTTGCACAATAAGAGGGTGGTGTTCTCCAAGGTCTCCTTGAAGATCCGACTTATCCTTGGTCATCACTTTGCAGAGGGCAGGTCCTGTCCCCAAGCCCACCAGAGTGGAGCTGGGAAAAGTTCCATGGTGAAGAAAAGGCAGGGGACACAACTCTGAGAGTCATTCCTTTGAAGATTGAGCCCAGAGGGCTCAGTTTCTGGATTGCATGGGGCACTTTGTCTCTCTCTGCTGGAGCCACGCACCCCTGGTGCAGTAGTTTCTGCCCTGCCCAGACTCTGGTCCCAGAAGGTTGACATAATGAGGAAGGAATGAGCTTGCCAGCTCTGCCATGACCAGCAGGCTGCCTTGGGCAAGTGCTTCACTTCCCTGAGCCTCACTTCCTCTGCCTCATCCCTTCTCAGAGACCACTCCTCATTTACCATCCTAAAGTCTGACCCGTCCTGACAACCATTATTCTCTCTCCATCCCCTGGTTTTTCTCTTTAGGACAGTTACTGCATTCTCTATCTCTTGTTGTTTCTTAGGTGGAGGAGGTACCTGCCTCCTCCCTACCTAGAACGTGAGCCTAGTAAAGGGATGGGCCTCACCTGTTTCAGGTTTGACCTCCAATGCCCGTCACGTAGAAGCTCAACACCATTTCCAATGCCAGAAGTGACAGGACAACAGCAACAATAGCAATATTTCTGTACCACTCCCCTCACTTTCCAAAGAGAAGTAATTCCCAGCTTGGACCTTCCCTTGCTGGGAGGGGTGCCCAGGTGTGGCCTCTCTGTGACCTTGGACCCTGGCTCCGGCATATGCCAGCCTGGCCTTTCCCCAGGGTAGGGAGCTGGCACCCTGGGCATTCCCCAGCCAGCATCCAGCCTTCTTGGGCAGGGCCTTTCCACACCATTCCTCCCAAATCCTCACTGGCCCACCCTGGAACAAATGCAGGCGGAAGCTCGCATCCCCACCTCTGCTGTTTCTGCTGGGTCCCCAAAGAGCTTTCTTTAGGGAAAAAGAAAGCAGGCCAGTGCCTGCTCCTTTTAGACCCCACAGTGGGGCATGGGGTGGGCCTTGGTTGGCCTTAATTTTCCATTCACCTGAGGAGTGGCTCAATCTCACTCATTCCCATTGCAGGTGGATGTCAGCCAAACTGGATGCATAAGGTTTTTGTGATTTAGGAGTTGCAACAGGGGAGATAAAACGCCTAGGAATGTCTTCAGTTGGAAAAAAGGGGCACGATCCTCACATTCTGTAACCTGAGCACTTTATCTCCTCTCTCCCCTTCCTTCACTGATACAAGAAAGGAGACTCCAGCACTAGTTTCCTCAGTCCTTCTGCAGGGCGGGCCTTCTCACGGCCTCAAAGTCATGGAGAAGAGTGTGCACAGGACACCTCACTTTAAGCAAAGCCCATAGACCGTATTTGAGAAAAGGAGTTAAATAAAGAGGCAGCCACCAACAAACCAGAGCCCTGTGGTCACTCAGGTCCCATAGACTCTAGAGGTCAAAGGGCCTCCGAGCATTTGAGAATCAGAGAGGGCAAGTAACTTGGCTGATATCACATAGCACGAAGGTGGCAGAGCCAGGATTCCACCTGCTGGCCTCCCAGATGTCTTTCCTGTTGGACCCTGCTTGCTGGCCACTCCTGGTGGGGGTCACTCCACCATTAGTGTGTTCATCAAACTGACAGTTGTGGTCCAGATCCCTTGCCTCTGGTGTGCCCAGCACCTTAGCTGGCACCTCCCTCAGCAAACCCAGCCTTCGCCATCCTCCCAAGCATACTTCCCAGGGCTGTTTTGTCCATTACGGTCCCAGAATATAAGGCCTTTGGGTTTTTTCAGGGCCTGTGAAAAGGTTTGAAAAATGAAAAACACACTGGCAGTTCCAAAATTCTCAAATAAAACTGTAGAAATGCCTTAGGAATTAAATATGTAATAAGATGTGAACACTTCATTACACACCTACAATTAGTCACATGCCTACGATATGTGAATAATGTCAGGTCAGCTAGTGAACTGTTATACAGTAATTGCGCATCACTTATATAGATATACACAAAGTGCACTTACTGACTTGGATGTGTGTGTTCATTGTTTGAAGTGGCGTGGATGGAGGCTCCAAAAGATAAAAGAATGTAGGGGAGGTGACTCTTCAAATGGCCCTCACCCACCCCTTACCCTCAGCTCACCCACCATGAAGCTTCCCCTTCCAAGGAGGACACACCTCCTTTCCTAGAACATTCTTCAGTGCCACAAGCTGCTCAGTCAGCCCTGATTCTGGAGTCTCCAGTGAGCGAGGCCTGGGGTGGCCCCAGTGGGATGAGCCACACTCCCCACAGCACTCAGCCTGGATGTGGCACTGGCTGCACATAGCAAGAGGCAGCTATTGGACACCTGCTCGCCACATGTTCTGTCTTATCCTCCCAGCAACACCGAGTGAGGGAGGGAGTGTTAACCCACCATTCACCAGGTTTACCAGAGACCAAGCCCAGGATCTCTCCACTGCACACTTTTAAAAGGGTCCTTTCAGCTTCCCATTAAAGAAGTTTGTTCCTTTGTTCCTCCTCTCCTGTTCTTCCTAAGACATCATCACTGAAATTTAAGCTTATAAATTTAAAATGAAGTAAATCTATAAGGGAAAAGCATTAAAAAAGAGAGAAAGATGGCTTACTAATGGATGAGAGTCCAACACATTTCTGGAAGACAAGGTTCATGAGAGGCCTAGCACTGTGGCTCCCACCTGTAATCCCAGCACTTTGGGAGGCTGAGGCAGGAGGATCGCTTGAGGACAGGAATTGAAGCCTGCAGTGAGTTACCGTCACACCACCCTACTCCAGCCTAGGCAACAAAGCGAGACCCCATCTCTTAGAAAAGAAAAAAGAAGATTCACAAGAGGGTGTGGCAATATTAGACAGGCTAAGCCCCCAGGTGTACCCAGTGTAACCACAGGGGCCCTTCGGTGGAAGGGAGAAGCAGAAGAGGTCAGAGTGAAGCCACACCTGCTGTGACAATGGAGGGAGAAAGTGGCTGGCCAAGGAACTCCATCAGCTTCTAGAAGCTGGAAAAGGCAAGGAAACAGTCTCCACCCGGAGCCTTATGGGAACACAGCCGCCTCATGGGAACACAGCTGCCCTGTGACACTGATTTTAGCCCCGTGAGGCCCATGCTGGACTTCTGGCCTCCAGAACTGTAAGATTTGTGGTGCTCTAAGCAAATCATAAATTTGTGGAAATTTGTTACAGCAGCAACAGAAAACTAGCACAGGCAGCCTACGTGCTAATTCTCATCTTACCTGAGGTGGGGAGTACAATACACCCTGCGTTAGTTGGAAAGCTGAAACAATTCTCTAATGCTAATACTGAAATTGTCAGGTCGGTGTAACTGTGACAGTCCGGAAGCAATGGAGGCTTCAGTGAGCAGGACCAGCTGCCTTTCTCACCACCACAGCTTGATCTCTCTCACAACTTCCTCTCCACCTCCACTGACCTCTGGGTTGGTTTTCTCCTGCACGATCTTTCCACGTGTCAGGGGCCTGGAGGCACCCTACAAGAGCTGATTTTACATTTCCTTCCTAGAGGTAATCCCAGAACAAAAGAGAGCAGTTTTATTTATTTTTTTCAAGAGAATTAAATTGTTTATTGATTACACATGATAATGGATGATACACAAGCTTCATTCCCATCTATAATTTAATCTGGTACCATTATTCAATTAGATATGTTACATAGGATGTGCCAACAATTACTTTTATAACCAATAATTCCATGATTTTGCTTGGGTAATCCCTTTTAATGGTGACTGAAATCATGACTGACCGAGTCAGTGGCTAGAAAAGGGGCTTTGCCTTTGTAACTTTTGATGACCATGACTCCGTTGATAAGATTGTCATTCAGAAATACCATACTGTGAATGACCACAACTGTGAAGTTAGGAAAGCCCTGTCAAAGCAAGAGATGGCTAGTGCTTCATCCAGCCAAAGAGGTCGAAGTGGTTCTGGAAACTTTGGTGGTGGTCGTGGAGGTGGTTTCAGTGGGAATGACAACTTTGGTATTGGAGGAAACTTCAGTGGTCTTGGTGGCTTTGGTGGCAGTCGTGGTGGTGGTGGATATGGTGGCAGTGGGGATGGCTGTAATGGATTTGGTAATGATGGAAGCAATTTTGGAGGTGGTGGAAGCTACAATGATTTTGGCAATTACAACAATGAGTCTTCAAATTTTGGACCCATGAAGGGAGGAAATTTTGGAGGCAGAAGCTCTGGCCCCTGTGGCAATGGAGGCCTATACTTTGCAAAACCATGAAACCAAGGTGGCTATTGGCAGTTCCAGCAGCAGCAGTAGCTATGGCAGTGGCAGATTTTAATTAGGAAACAAAGCTTAGCAGGAGAGGAGAGCCAGAGAAATGACAGGGAATCTACAGGTTACGACAGATTTGTGAACTCAGCCAAGCACAGTGGTGGCAGGGCCTAGCTGCTACAAAGAAGACATGTTTTAGACAAATACTCATGTGTATGGGCAAAAATCTCGAGGACTGTATTTGTGACTAACTGTATAACAGGTTATTTTAGTTTCTGTTCTGTGGGAAGTGTAAAGCATTCCAGCTAAGGGTTTTAATATAGGTTTTTTTTTTGCACCCATGCTGTTGATTGCTAAATGTAATAGTCTGATCATGACGCTGAATAAATGTCTTTTGTTTTAATGTGCTGTGTAAAGTTAGTTTACTCTGAAGCTATCTTGGTAAATTTCCCCAACAGTGTGAAGTTAGAATTCCTTCAGGGTGATGCCAAGTTCTATTTGGAATTTATATACAACCTGCTTGGGTGGAGAAGCCATTGTCTTCAGAAACCTTTGTTGTAGTTGAACTGATAGTTACTGTTGTGACCTGAAGAGAGCAGTTTTAGTAGTGAAAGTCCTGCAGGATTCCTAGTGGTCAAGA
The DNA here is from genome assembly GCF_000001405.40 of Homo sapiens. Lineage (NCBI taxonomy): Eukaryota > Metazoa > Chordata > Mammalia > Primates > Hominidae > Homo > Homo sapiens. The sequence continues at coordinate 47,967,666 of NC_000010.11, read as the reverse complement.
TTGGGGAGCATGCCTGTATCCCACAGTGGCCAGGGCCCAGGACATATGCCTGGCCCTGTGACTGGCTGGTCATGGGCACAGGCCCCCGGGAGGGAGGGGAGAGTCCTTTCAGAAGAAGGGGAGGGTATGGGAACAGACCCAACCTGACCGCCCCAGACCGTTACTCTCCCTGAGGTGGATGGAATGCAGAATCAAAGTACAATTATATGGTTTAAAGTTTTAAAAGTAAATAACAGAAAACTAAAAATAATTATGCCAAAATGATAAAACTTTGGAAGGATGAAGGGAGGAAGCAGAGGTGCATAATGAGGCCATTTCTTATGTTCCGTCACAGGAGGTAGATAAATTTTCTCCAGATGAATAAAAAAATAAGGGTGCCTATACATGCTACTAAGCATTGTGGAGGCGCCCACCAGAAGTACTAAAAATGGAAATGTTTACAAGAAGTTGCCTCTGGAGAGTGAGGCCAGGACTGGGGAGGGGAGAGGATAGAAACTGTTTTCTCTCACCATAAACCCTTCTCTCATATTTGATTTGTTCCTATCTGTTTGTTTTACATTGATCACAAGATGTGCTGTGAGAGTGAAAGATTTTTAAATATTTAGATGGATGTCCTGAGCTTTGATATGAAATGCTGATCTGATCAATATCTAATATGATAACTCCATTTGGGATAAAATTTTAGGGTCATGGGGAAAAAACATAATTTGGAATCATCTTCATTCATATGCAAGTTATGCTTTTTAAGAAGGAAACTCCTTGATTCTCATCTGCTGTGCTGAATCTTTAGGAGTTTAACCTGCTATGTCACATGTTTCAATAAAAGAGAGATGTTCCCAGCCTGTTAAACAACAAACTCGCCTGCTTAAATCAAAAAGCAATTATGAATGAATGATTGAACTCTTGTCATCACCCTCTCTCCAGGAGAGAGTAAGGCACATTCATTCTCACAAGAAGACCTGGCCTCACCCCATTTCTCTGTTTCCCAGGCATATGGCTCATCTGCGTCCAGTGTATGTTTGGCCAGGACACTGGACATGTCCCACTTGGCTCCTGCCTCTTGCCCCTGCCAGTCTGGCCTACAGCCGTGGGTCTGAGGGGAGGACTGGGAGCCATCAGAGACAGCAGCTGGCCAGGATCTGATTTGGAGGCCTAGTACTCAATGCAGAGTTACTCTTCAGGCCCCAGCTCCTTCATGCAGGGCTCCTGGGCCACATATTCAGAGTCAGATTCCCCACCCTTCTCCAGGGATTCGGGTCATTGACTTACACCAAAGCTGGAAGCCATAAATCAGGAGACTTCATTGGTCTCATTCCTGAACCCACCCCTGCAACCTTTGGTCATCGCCCCATAGGCCAGCCCTGGCCATCCACCCATCTCCCTGATGCTCCCTCCATCCTGCTCTGGGACTCCTCTCCTTCCTGCTCTTCCGCCACGGCTGACTCTGCCTCTTCGTCACTGTTCCACTGGGAGGCCCATTTCAGAGCAAATGAACCCTCTGTGTCATCAGCCTTTCTCTCCTCCCCTGGGGGCATACTCCTTTGCCCTAGATGGGGGCTTCTCACTCTCCCACTTCCAACTTGGCTAAGGACCCAGCAGGACAGGGAGCCTCTTCCTCTTCCCCTTTGCCCTCCTCCCACATCCCATCGTCTTTCGCTCTCTGGAGGTTGGGGGGAGGGGCAGGGTGGAACAATTCCCCCAGCTTCTCACTCCCAGGGCCTCCCCTCCATGATCACCGTCTCCCTCTCCTCCCTGAGGCCGGAGGCCTGGCCATGCCCGTAGGGACAACGTCTCCCCAGCTTGGCCTTGGTGCTCTGGGACCTCCCCAACTGCACAACAGGCTCCCAAGCCGGGAATGCTTTTGTCTCAGCTCCCCTCTAGACCTGGGGAGCCCTCCATGGAAAACCACAGTCGAAAAATGGATTTAGTATCTGCATTGTTCAGGGTCATGGCAAGAAATGGCATTGAATGCTTCAAATGATGAGACTTTAATGGCAGTAGTCCTTACAGAAGTGTGGCCAGGTGAAGAGGATGAACAGGGATGTTGAGAAGCACGAAAACAAACAACTCTAGGATGCTGTTACTCATGGGGCTAGACAGAGAGGAATAGTGTTGCCACAGCCAGTAAGAGCTAGAGATGTGGAGAAGGGGTTTCCAGCAGGAGCTGATGTCTTGGAGAGACACAGCCTTGGGGAGGGGCAGTGGGGACGGGGTGGGGGGATACACTGACCACTCTCTCTCTTCCTATACTTTTGCCTTCCAGCTAGAGTCTCCCACTGGCTAATTCCAACCTCTGCCCAGTCAGTAAGAAAGCCTGAGAGGCAGCTTAAAGACGTCAGGTTCCCAGGGTCAAGCAGGACACATGGCTGTGGGGGTGGGGAAGGAGAGTGGGCAAACACCCTGAAACTAAAAGGAGAGTAGCAGTGCAGAATCCAGGGCCACTGAAAACAGTTCCCAGAGTCCAACTCCGTCGTTTTGCAAATGGAGAAGCCAAGGCTGGAAAAGGTTAGTGATTTTCCCAAGTCACACAAAGTTCGTGGCCAGGCTGAGCCCAGACCCCAGATCCCCATCCCCCCTGCTGCCTGTGACACAACAAAGGCCTTGACACCAACACTCCCTTCTGTGGAGTCCCTTGTAGTGTTTATGCACTAAAAATCATTTTTAAAACATTTTAATAGGGTATATTGCTTTGAATCCCTTCCCCAACAGGAAATATGCTGGCTGGCTGGCAGAAGGCTCAGCAGCTGACCTTGAACTCCCTTGACCTCCCCACATCCAGGCTGAGATTTTCCATCCAACGGTATTGCCAGAGCCCAAGCTGAATGGAGGAGGCTGGAATTAAACAGTAATAGCCCCTTCCAGTTATCGTTCTGTAGCCGGCAGCTAGATAAATATTCGGAAAACATCGGAGGAGAAATCTAATTGAATTCAAACATAATAAATTGAAGCCAACTCACTGGATTTATGGTCATGTCTTCTGGCATCTTTTAATTTTGCATCACACTCATTTGGAGGCAATCAAATTAGGGCGCTCATTAGCAGCCAAGGGAGGGGAGGCTGGAGCCACACTCACTGCGGTAATGAGATCTCTGCAGTGGGATGATTCAGAAGTCGGTTGCCGGGGAGGCTGCAAGGGCACAGTGGTCACTGCCTCCTTTCAGGAAAGTTGTTGGGAGGAGCAGGAGGTTGATTGTAGGAGGGAGCAAGGGTGGAGTCCAGCCCAGCTACTCACCGGGTAACTGTGGCCTTCACCGCCCACAGTGTCAGACTCCTCCTCGGTGGGATAGCGGCAGTGCCTGCCTCCGAAGGCTAAATGAGTAGGAAATGAGATAAGAGGTAGAAACCATGTCTTCCTCCAGCCCTCAGAGTTTGATAACCTCTGCCCTCTCATCCCATTACGGCCCCATGGACAAAGCTCCTTGGCCCCCGATTCTCACTCATGGACCTCTGGCTTGTACATGTGAGAAACAAACTTACCCGTCCAAACCCAAAGAATGGACTCAGATACCCAGAGAACAGCGAAAGTGAAACTTTTAATGATGAACTTGCAAGATCGGGTGTCTGATGGACAAGCACACCCAGCAGTTTCGACAAGCAGTTTATCCCTAGAGTACGGGTCCCTCCCCCAGTTGCTCATAGACTGAGTACTATGGGGTCACAATTTTCCCGGATGTTGCCTATTGATTGTTAGGTAGGGGCTTTAGGTGTTTTTTTTTAGGGTTGTCTTGCTGCATTTTGTTGCAGCTCACAATGCATTGCAATCCTAGTCAGCTCAGGGGCTCTTCAAGTGTTTGACTTATGACCTAAGTAGCTAGGCAGGCTGACAAGAAGAGACAAATCAAGCTATCTTGCAGACTAATAAACTTTTATCTAAACTTCTTTGGTTCGGGTGAGGGCAACTAAGGGGGTGGGGAAGAGGGAAGAAGGGGGAGGCCGACAAGCAGGCAGCAGCTATCCAAGCAGGGGCCTAGTATGTCCTGTTGCTTCTATAGTTTGCTGACCTAAGCCGATTCAAGGCACTTGGTCTTGGAAATGGACCACTGTATACATTATTTCCTTCAGACACCCACCGTGGACACAATGCTCAGCTCATCCTGGCAGCCTGGCGAGATATGGCCTTGCCGCTAGAGCCGTTCCAGGCATCCCTACCCCAGACCAGGGGACTGGTCCAAGAGACCTGAGCTGGAACCTGAGAAGGACATCCAGGCAGCAGCCAAATAGGTGCCTGGTGCAAACAGGTGTTCAGGAAACACGGGCTTTCTCATCCACCCCAGTCCCTGCACAGGGCCGAGGAGGAGGAGGGCAGGCAGCTTTCTTGTCTGGCACAATCATTCACTTATCGAATACCTCATATGCCTGTGGTGCCAGGCGGGGTGCAGAATGTTATCCCATTCCATCCTCACTGACCATAAGGGAAGTATGAACACGTTTCACTTTGTAGATGAGGAAACTGAGTCCCAGTGAGAATAGGCATTTGCTCATGGCCACACAGCAGGTAAGAGATGGAGTCAGCAGTCAAACCCAGGTCTGACTGACTCCAGAGCCTGCGCACTCTCTGACAAGCAGCTCCACAGAACCGTGGCTGCCCAAGCAGGTGACTCCACAAAGAGCCTGGAGCCTCTGGGACCTGGACAGGGAAGTAGATTGCAGCCTTGTGAGAGTTACATCATGTGATGAGGGCTTTCTGATCCCACAGTCTACAGAGGGAACCACAGCTGGAGCTGAGCAAAGCCAGCTCATCCAGGCAGGGGCTCCAGTGAGTGCGCCCTGCTGCTCGCCAGGTGGTCAGCCTTCCAGCTTCCCCAGGGACTACCTACATGTCCCCCCAATGCTTACTGCCCACTCCCAGGAGGGGCTGCGTGTCAGAGCAGGCCAGAGCACCAGATGCCCTGTAAGGGTGTGTCTCTGTGTGTTTGTGTATGTGAGTGTGCACACACATGCATGTGGAAATGTGCGTGGGTGTGTATACACTTGTGTGCATGCACAGGACTGTGTGTGCTTATAAGTGTGTGTCTCTGTGAGTGTGTGAGAGTGTGTGTGTGTAAGTGTGTGAGGTAGGCCAAGCAATTCCAATCACTTGTTTTCTGAAATGTCCTCAGATCCACCCAGGTGAAAGGAGCTGATAAATATGTCATTATAATCACATTTTCTACTGTTAAAATACAGTCCTGATTATATTTGCAATGACGACAGTTTACTTTACCCAACACAGTAGGTGATTCAATTAAACCTCTCCCCATCTATCCTTGGGCAGCCAGACAGGCCAGCCTTTCCAGCCACAGGGAGAAGAGAAGGCAAAGGTGACACTCCCATGGCCGCGTACTCTCTCATCACATTCTTGATGCTTCCCCTGTCTTGGTTTTTTGAGGCCCCCAGGGCTTGGCCAGGTGTCTGCTCATTAACATATTAGGCCTGAGTTCAAATCATGAGCCCCATGAGCAGAAATGCACTCCAGGCCCCCTCCCCACTCCACAGAGCAGTGCACCTGAAGCACAGACCTGACTGAGTGAAGAAAGTCTTGACAGTAACCACCTGATGTTAGCACAGATGCCACAGACTTAGGGCCCTGCAGGATGCCAGCTGCATTCCCAGTGCACCCACACTTCCAATCACTGGCTACCAAGATAGAGGCTCCCACTCAGGGCTTCAAGTTGAATAAATAATTCATTAGAATGACTCACCAACCTCTGCACTTACAATTCCAGTTTTATTGATTGGTACAAATCAGGACAAGCTAAATGAAAAGATGCACAGGGAGAGGTTTGGGGAGATTCCCAAATGTGAAGCCTCCCAGAACACGGTTATATGATTACCAACCAGGGTGGCTGCACTGAGCTACAATGTCCAGAGTTTTTATTGGGGTTTGTTACCTAGGCATGATTGATGAAATCATTGCTTACACCTTTGTACTCAATTCCAATACCCACTCTCTCCCCAGAGGTCAGGCTGATATCATGTGGCTCAAAGTCCTGACCCTTTATTCACATGGCTGGTCTTGCCATGGTTGGCCAGCCTGCATCCTGAAGCTATGGAGTCCCACCTTGAAGCACCTGGTCAGCATAAACTCCGGTGTGGCCCCAGGGACCCACGATGAATAGCAAAGACACTCCTGCCACCCTGAAAATGCCAAGCTCCCTTCCAGGAACCTGGGACAAAGCCCAAATGCTTCATTTTACAACACCATGGGCCCCCTAAAGTGTCTGGTGGCTCTTCATTGCCTTCTGGGTAAATCCAGGCTTCAGCCTTGCCTAGAAAGCCCCTTCCTCCTTGTCTGCCCTCATCTCCCAGCTCTCTGGCCAGGTGCCTTTTGTTCCAGCCACACTGGCCTTCTTCACTTTCCAGACATACCAGGTCCTTTCCCATACCTTTGGGGTGATATCCTCCCCATCCTTTCCCCTTTCTTAATGCTTCCACTGTCTTGACATATGTGACATCTGCTCACCTCTTCATCTCCCTAATGAGGCTATGAGCACCCAAAGGCACCCTCAAGGCCCACACATTTTAGCTGTCCTGGAAGACCTGAAGCCACACAGTGCAAGTTCTGCAGAGACTGTGCCATTCAGAATCCCTGAGGCCCTTGGCTGGGAGCCATATTAGTGGTCCTTCCCTGGCCTACAGAGAGGCTGCACCATTCTCGAGTCCTAAGCATGGCATGGCCACAGTACTTGCATTCACCTTTATCTCTGATCATGAAGTTGAGCAAGCAGCTGACTCAAGGGCCAATGATCCTGCCAAGGTCTTCCTACAGGTGTTCCCAGCAGGCCTGCTAGCCAGGGGTGTGGCGCCACAGGTGCTTATCATGGGCCCACTGCAGGATGGCTGGTCCCCAAGCAGCCCCACCCAGAGAAGCTTCCACCATGATCCTGAGGCAATGCCTAAGGCCTCTGGAGAATGAGGTGACTATCACTGTTGGGGGGGCATGATCAACACAGGGTGCAAGTCAGTTTCTTGGGTGCTTACAATGTTCAATTATTGAATCTGAGTGCGGGTGACATGGTTCCCTTGGCAAAGATTAATCGAACCATATAATTATAATTTGTATATTTTTGTATATGTCTGTTCACTTCAGTAAAAATTTACGTAAAATGTACTATTACAAAAAAAGCTACTCTTGCCCCAGCTTCTTAGCATATGCATAAAGCAATGCTCAGAAAGCATCTTACTGATCATGAGAGTTCCCCCAAGGTGTTTATAATTGGTTCTCAGAGAAATGCTGGCTCCCTCCTTCTGTCCCCTTAGCTGAAGCAGGCTGTGCATGATACAGCCAGAGGAGGGAGGCCATCAGTGTTCTGCCAGAGTTATTTGAATTTAAGCCCCTGCACTCTAGAATTCTTGAGGCTACCCAAAGCTTCATGGAGCTCATGATGAGATTCAAGGTGCAGATTCCTATTTTGGCATCTAAATCAAGTGAGGACACATTTATGCAAGGACCTTAGGCATCCATATCAGTCACAATAAACAGTTTTTGAAATAATTTTAATTATTTTCAAATAATGCATAATAACCTCAAAACCTAGTGGCTTAAAACAATAATTTGTCACCATCTTTCACAGTTGAAGGAGTTGGCTTGGCTAAGCCAGGCAGTTGTTGTGTGGGGTCTCTCCCTGGGTTAGTCAGATGGCGTCTGAGTCATCCAAAGGCCCGACAGGGCTGGACATCCCAAGTGGCTTCCTCACATAGCTGGCAGCTGGGAACCGAGTGAGGGCTGTGGTCTGCAGGCCTAGGCACAGCTCCTCCATGTGGCTTGGGCCTTCTCACAGCATGGCATCTGGATCAGAAAGGCAGGAAGTGGAAGCTGACAGCCTCTTAGCCCTGAGCTTAGAAGCGGGCACAGCACCATATGCCTCACTCTATGGGTCAGAGAAGTCATAGAGCTCACCTAGATTCCAGGGGATGGGACAGAGACCCCACCTCTCAAGGTGAGCTCTCTAACTGGGAAATCCGTGACCATGACTTTGAAGTGAGGTTGGATCCAGGAGTCCAAGCAAGGTCCTGAACTTTCCCTCCCCGTCTCTGGCCTCTGCAGGGCTCTGTTGGGCTCCAGCTTCAGACACAGTCTCCCCAGGAGACAGCTATGGTGCTCAGCAGGTCCAAGCTCAGACTCCTTAGAGCACATGCCGAAGGAGAGACAACTGCTCTCCCAGCACTCAGTTTCCTAACAATGGACCCTAGTTGGCCCTGCTGTCCACGTGCTGATCCCAACCTAATAAGCACATCCAATGTGTGACACACTCTGGCCAATGTGGGTCCTCTGACTGCCCTTGTGGTGGGCAGTGGGGGGCTCTCTTTATTATTACCCCCACCACAATCACATAGAAAGTTTGTAAAGAGGATTCCTTTTCTCAAAGCAGGGAACCACAGAGCTCATACTGTACCCCAAGTCCCCTGCAACGTTACCTACAGGTCATGCAACCAGCATTAAGTTACAAAGAGAAAGGTGGGTACATCTGGAACTCCCTAGGCCTCCTTTTCCAGTCTCTACCTCGGGATGTCCAGCTGTCACTCCACCCCCATGTTCTCCCCCTACCCTCTGGGCCTCCAAGGCCACCTACCTCCCAGCCTTTCCTGCCTCCTTCTCCAGAAGGCCAACTGCTTCCACTGGCCACTTCAGATGGGCTCATCCCCCGGCCCTCCCCCAGCCCTCACCCTTCTCTTGAGTTCTGACAGGATAACATCGTTGATATGATTTGGCTGTGTCCCCACCCAAAACCTCATCTTGAATTACGATCCCCATAATCCCTACGTGTTAAAGTTAGGACTAGATAGATGGAGGTAATTGGATAATGGGGGCGGTTTCCCCCATGCTGTTCTCATGATAGTGAGTGAGTCTCGTGAGATCTGATGGCTTTATAAGTGCCCAGCATTTCTCCTGCTAACACTCATTCTCTCTCCTGCTGCCCTGTGAAGAACTGTGAGTCTATTAAACCTCTTTTCTTTAGAAATTACCCAGTCTTGGGTGTTTCTTCATAGCAGCATGAAAAAGGACTAATACAACTGGCTTCTAGGGTTAGCCGGGGAGTACCTCCGGCATAGACTGGGGGCCACATGGACTCAACATCAGACCACAGGCCTGTTAGAGGAGGAGGCGAAGCCATCAGTGGAAGGCACACGAGGGATCTGAGTCCTTTTCCTCCCTGCCTGTCTGTGGCCCAGGGAGCCAGTGGTGGAGATGACACTTTTTTTTTTTTGAGACAGAACCTCACTCTATCTTCCAGGCTGGAGTGCAGTGGCTCGATCTCGGCTGACTGCAACCTCCACCTCCCAGGTTTAAATGATTTTCCTGCCTCAGCCTCCCACATAGCTGGGATTACAGGCGTGCACCACCTCATCTGGCTAATTTTTGTATTTTTAGTGGAGACGGGGTTTTGCCATGTTGCCCAGGCTTGTCTCAAACTCCTGATTTCAAGTGCTCTGCCGGCCTCGGCTTCCCAAAGTGTTGGGATTACAGGCATGAACCACCACGCCGAGCTGGAGATGCCACTTCTAAGGTGTCCTTAGGTTTCAGAGGCCATGCAGGCGAATGGAGGGACAGTCATGGTGTTCTGTCTTTTGTTATGGAATAGTTATTATTAAAATCCTGGAGTGGGTTGAATTGTGGCCCCCACAAAAGGTTGGTCTGGGTCCAAACTCCTGGATCCTGTGACTATAACCTTATTTGGATAAAACGGCTTTGTAGATGTAATTAAATTAAGGATCTTCGGGTAAGTTCATCCTGACTTTGCCATTTTTAATTAAGTTGTTTGTCTTCTTATTATTGAATTGCAGGAGTAATTTTTACATTTTTGATACCAGTACTTTGTTAGATATAAGTTTGAGTACTCAGTCCTTGTAAGAGACAGAAAAGGAGAGACACACACAGAGGAGAAGGCTATGGGAGGCTGGAGGCAGAGATCAGAGCCACGAGCCAAGCTTGGAGCTACTGGAAGCAGGAAAGCAAAGAAGAACCTTGCCTGGAGCCTAAGTAGGGAGCACAGCCCTGTGACACTGTGATTTCGGACTTCTGACTTCCAGAACCGTGAGATAATAAATTTCTGTTCTTTTAAACCATGAAGTTTGTGGCAATTTGTTACGGCAGCCCTAAGAAAATAATACAAATCTTCTTTCACTGTCAAAAGTGCCTGGGTTGGAATCTATTGTAAGGACTCCCAGAGCGCTCTCGGGAAAGGAAACAAGAAGCCGGTCCCCTAGGCCTGGGCCTGACTGAGGCCGGGACCAGAGGCTCAGGTGGGGCCCTGGAGGCCAGCAGGAGGTCCCAGCCCAGTCACCAGTACAGGAGATTGACAGGAATGAAAGAAAATGTTTTGAGGGGTGTGCCTTAGGTCACGGGTCCCCAGCAGCCAGCAGCATCCGGAGGCTAGCTGGGGTCCTGGGTCCTGGCCATCTCTAGTCCTCAGAGACACAACTGACGTGTGTGTTGGTCCATCCTCAGGCTCACAGCCCTGAAATCTCTCTCCTCTGAGACAGAAAAGGAAGTTCATGTCAGAATCGGAGCACAGAGAGATCATGAATAAGCTGATGTCAGTGGCCCACTCACTGCCAACCTTGCTCAGCTCTGAGCATGATTATACCCAATCAAAGCCTGGAAAATCAATGAATCTGCAGCCCAGGATACTGGGTACTACATCCACAGCCCAAAGAGCCTCTCCGGGGAAGGTTGCTGAGATACTAAGGGAAGGATACTTTGGAAAGATGGAGAAGTAAAAATATTTCCTACATCCTTTGTTTTGGAGAGACTATACCTGTATCTGGGATGCACAGGTGAGTTCAAACACCAAGGCGTTTGTGGATGGTGCCCAGGCTATACTCGAAGCAGAGCCGTCTCCTTCCCTGAGTGCCCTGCTCCTGAATGACCAACTGCAGGAGGTGGTGTCAGGCCCTGGGCTGTGCGAGGAAGGGAAGGTAAGACGCAGTGAGCCAGGGAAGGACACAGGACAGGGCTCATTGAAGCCCTACCCTACAGTGATACAAAACTGCTGCACAAGCTGGTCCCCAGAGAGCAACAGAGGAAGACTTAGGAGGCAGAGAGACTGGGAACGCCAGTGGGGATGGGAGGGAAGTCTCCAGCCTGAAAAAGAAAATGGCCAATGGAAGAAACTAGGAAATAAAACATGGTTGCGAGTAGGGTATTCCCTACTTCTTCGTATGAGTCTGGGTTCTAGGAGGTGAATATGCATACAGTCACATGCTGTGTGACACTTCAGTCAACTACAGACGGTGATCCCATTAAATTATAATGGAGCTGAAAGAATCTTATCGCCTGGCAACAACCTAGTGCAATGTATTATTTAGGTGTTTGTGGTGATGCTGGTGTAAACAAACCTGCACTGCCAGTTGTATAAAATCTAGCACATAGAATTATGTACAGTGCATAGTACTTGACAATGATAACAAATGACTGTTAGCAGTTTATGTATTTACTATACTATACTTTCATGATTATTTTACAATGCACTCCTTCTACTTATTAAAAAGAAAAAGTTAATGTAACACATCCTCAGGCAGGTTCTTCAGGAGGGATTCCAGAACAAGGCACTCTCATCACAGGAGATGACAGCTCCATGTGCATGACGGCCCCAGAAGACCATCTGGTAGGACAAGATGTGGAGGTGGAACGCAGTGATATTGATAATCCTGACCCTGGGTAGGTGTGGGCTAATGTGTGTGTCTTCATTTTAATTTTTTTCTAATTTAAAATGTAAAAAAAGAAAAAAAGCTTATAGGATAAGGATATAAAGAAAGAAAATATTTTTGTACAGTTATACAACGTGTGTCTTAAGCTAAGTATTAATATAAAAAAGTCAAAAAGTTAAAAAAATAAAGTTGATAACATAAAGAAGCTAAGGTTCATTTATTATTGAAGGAAGAAAAAAATTTAAAATACATTTAGTGTAGCCTAAGTTTATAGTGTTTATAAAATCTGTAATAGTGTACAATGATGTCCTGGGACTTCACATTCACTCACCACTCACTCACTAGCTCATCCAGAGCAATTTCCAGACCTGCAAGCTTCATTCATGGTAGATGCCCCACAGAGGTGCACTACTTTTTGTCTTCTATGCTGTATTTTCACTCTACCCTTCCTATGTTTAGCTATGTTTGGATATACAAATATTACCATGTTACAGTTGCCTGCAGTATTCAGTACAGTCACATGCTGCACAGATTGGTAGCCTAGGAGCAACAGGCTATGCCATAGAGCCCAGGTATGTAATGGGCTGTACCATTTAGGTTTGTGTAAGTACACTCTATGATGTTCACACAATGACAAAATCCCCTAATGATGTGTTTCTGAGAACGCATCACTGTCATTGAGCATCGTTGTGTATTAATCCATTTTCAAGCTGCTGATAGAGACATACCCAAGACTGGGCAATTTACAAAAAAAAAAAAAAAGATTTAATGGACTTACAGTTCCAGGTGGCTGGGGAGGCCTCACAATCACGGCGGGAGGCAAGGAGGAGCAAGTCGCGTCTTACATGGTTAGCAGCAGGCAAAGAGAGAGCTTGTGCAAGGGAACTCCCCCTTATAATACCATCACATCTCATGAGGTTTATTCACTATCATGAGAACAGCACAGTAAAGATCTGCCCCCATGATTCCATTGCCCTCCACTGGGTCCCTCCCACAACACATGGGAATTCAAGATGAGATTTGGGTGGGGACACAGCCAAACTATACCACCATGACTGTAGTCTCTTGTGTGGGCTCCTTTCACTCATCATAATGTTTCTGGGCTCCATTCTCCTTGTCATGTGTATCTGTAATCTCTCCTGCTTTAATGTTGGGTAGTGTTCCATTCTGCAGCAATATCACAATTTGCTTATCCATTCTACTGTCTGGGGTTTTTCCCCAGTTTGAGGCTACTAAAATTGTTATAAATATTTGTTTATAAGTCCTTGTGAACACAGGTGTTTTTATTCCTCTTGAATAAATAAATACCTAGGAGAGGAATTTCTGTTTTTTTTTTATTTTTATGGGTACATAGTAGGTGTATATATTTATGGAGTACATGAGGTGTTTTGATACAGGCATGCAATGCGTAATAATCACATCAGGGTAAACAAGGTATCCATCACCTCAAGCATTTATCATTTCTTTGTGATACAAAAATTCCAATTATACACGCTTACTTATTTTTAAATATACTAAAAATTATTGTTGACTGGCCAACCTGTTGTGCTATCAAATACTGCATCTTATTCATTGTATTTAACTCTACTTTTGTACCCATTAACCATCTCCATTTCCCACCCTCCACACCCACAACCTTTTCCCAGCTCTGGTGACCATCATTCCACTCTCTATCTCCATGAGTTCAATATTTTTAATTTTTAGCTCCCACAAATGAGTAAGAACATGCAAAATTTGTGTTTCTGTGCCTTTTTTATTTCATTTAACATTATGTCCTCTAATTCCATCCATGTTGTTGTAAATGACAGGATCTTATTCTTTTTTATGGCTGAATCGTACTCCATCGTATATATGTACCACAGTTTCTTTATCCATTTGTCTATTGTTGAACAATTAGAGTGATTTCAAATCTTGGCTATTGTGAATAGTGTTGCAATAAACATGGAAGTGCAGCTGTCTCTTTGATATACTAATTTCCTTTCTTTTGGGTATTTACCTACCAGTAGGATTGCTGGATCATAGGGTAGTTCTATTTTCAGTTGTTTGGGGAACCTCCATACTGTTCATCCTAGTGGCTGTATTAATTTACATTCCCACCAACAGTGTATAAGGGTTCACTTTTCTCCACATCCTCACCAACATTTGTTATTGCCTTTCTTGGATAAAAGCCACTTTAACCGGGTTGACATGAGATCCCATTGTAGTTTTGATTTGCATATCTCTGACAATCAATGATGTTGAGCACCTTTTCATATGCCTATGTGTCATTTGTATGACCTCTTTTGAGAAGCGTCTATTCAGATATTTTACCCATTTTTAATTATATTATTAGATTTCTTCCTATTTAGTTGTTTGAGCTTTGCATAGATTCTGGTTATTGATCAGATGGGTAGTTTGCAAATATTTTCTCCCATTCTGTAGGCTGTCTCTTCACTTTGTCATTTCCTTTGCTGTGCAGCTTTTTAACTTGATGTGGAAATTTCTGGTTTGTATAGTAAGTATATATTTAAATTCATAAGAAACTTCCAAACTGTTTTTCGAAGTGACAGCATTAATCCTGAATTTCCACTAACATTGTACAAGAGTTCTAGTTGCTCCCGATTCTTACAAAAATTCAGAATTGTTGATCTTTAAGTTCAGGCATCCTCATGGTGTGAGGGGTCGTCACATTTCCCTGATGTGTAATGCTGCAGTGCATCTTTTTATGTGTTTATTGGTTGTTTCGGGAAGTGTTTGCTCAAAATTTTCTGCCCATTTTGATAAAGTTGTTTTGTCTTCTTCTTACTGATCTTCCAGGGTTCTTTTTAATTTTTGCATACCATTACTTTGCCAAATACCTGTGTATATTTTCTCCTGGTCTGCAACTTGCCCTTTCATTTTCTTCATGGTGTCTTTTGTAGACCAAAAACTTTTAATTTCAATAAGGCCCATTTATCAATTTTTTTCCTCGAAAATTTTATGTGCCCTGAGAAATCTTTGCCTGCCCAAGTTGTGAAGATTTTCTCTTATGTTTTTCTCTAGAAGCTTTACAAATTTAGCTTTTATTTTTGTCTGTGATACATTTCAAGTTATGGTATAGGTAAGGGTTGAAGTTCACTTTTTTCATGTATAGATCTTCACTTGTTTTAGCACCATTTATTCAAAGACTATCTTTTTCCCCATCAAATTACTTTGGTAACTTTGTTAGGAATCAACATATTATGTATGTCCAGAAACAGGACATCTGATTCTGTTCCACTGACGAATTGTCTAAACTGAAACCTATACCACATGTCTTCATTACTCGCTTTCCTGTAATCTTGAAATAAAGTAGATAAGTCCTCAACATTCATTCTTTGTAAAAATTGCTTTGATTATTCTAGATTATTTGTACTTCCATGTAGATTTTGGAATCGCTTTGTCAATTTCAACCAAAAATCAGGAGAGCTGACTTCTTAACAATATTGGCAATTCACTTTGTCTCCACAATGTTTCATAGTTTTTTACACAGAGATTTTGCTCATCTTGTAAGTATTTTCAAATGGTACTATAGACAGTATTATTTATATAATTTAATCTTCCAAATTGCCACAATTTAGGAAAACAACTGATCTTTTGTTTACTGACCATTGTATCTTATGACCTTGCTAAATTCGCTTATTTTAGTAACTTTTTGTAAATTCCTTAGGATTTTAAAGTACATTATTATTTCTTCTATGAATGGATTCAGTTTTACCTCCTCCTTTCGAATCTTATGTCGGTATTTCCTCTTACCTTATTGCACCACCTAGGACTTTTGGTACAATGTTGAATGATCATGGCAAAAGTGGACATTCCTGCCTCACTCCCAACCTGAGGAGGAAAACATTATGTCTTTCACTATCAAATTTGATAATACCTGTAGGTTTTTCATGACAGCATTTTTTCAGGTTGATGAATTTCCCTTCTACGCCAGTGTTTTAAGAGGATTTTATTTTTTTAAAAAAAAGTACATCGTGAATGAGTATTGCATATTGTCAAATGCTTTTATAACATCTATCTAGATCATCACCTGGGTTTTCTGCTTTAAACTGCTAGAATTGCATTCATTGATTGGTCAATTGCACTGATTAACTTTGCATTTCTAGGATAAGCACTCTTGGTCATAGTGTATTACCCTCTACATATATTCCTAGATTCAACATACTGAAATATTTTAAGGATGTTTGCATGTATATTCCTTTTTTTTTTTTTTTTTTTTTTTTTGGAGACAGAGTCTTGCTCTGTCTCCCAGCCTGGAGTGCAGTGGTACGATCTCAGCTCACTGCAACCTCCACCTCCCAGGTTCAAGTGATTCTCCTGCCTCAGCTTCCTGAGTAGCGGGGATTACATGCGTACACCACCACACCCAGCTAATTTTTTGTATTTTTAGTAGAGATGGGGTTTCACCATGTTGCCCAGGCTGGTCTTGAACTCCTGGCCTCAAGTGATCCACCCAGCTCAGCCTCTCAAAGTGCTGGGATTACAGGCGTGAGCATGGTGCCCAGCTGCATGTATATTCCTTGTGGACATTGGCCTATAAGATTTTTTTCTTGTAGTATCTTTTCTCTGAGTTTGATATCAGGATTATGCTGATCCCATAAATTAAGTTAGAAAGTCTTTCCTCCTCCTTTACTTTCTGCAAGTTTGTATAAAAGTGATACTACTACTTCCTTAAATATTTGATTGAATTCACTAGAGAAGTCACTGGAGCCCGGAATTTTCCTTGTGTGAAGGTTTTTAATTACAAAGTTAATTTCTTTAACGGTTATAAAGCTATTCAGATTATCTATTTTTTCTTCACTGGGCTTTAGTAATTTTTCTTTTGAAAAATTTTCCCATTTCCTCTGGGTTGTCAAATTTGTTGCCGTAAAGCTTCTATAATATCCCCATATTATTTCTTTAATCTCTACATAGTCTGTAATTTTTATTCCCTCTTTTATTAGTGATGTTGGTAGTTTGTTTTATGACTTTTTATTAGGAGTTTATCAATTTTATTGATCTTTTCAAAGAACTTTTTATCTTATTGACTTTCTTTATTATTCCTTTTTCTATTACATTGTTTTCTGCTATTAACTTGATTTCCTTTCTTCTACTTACATTAGGTTTAATTGGCTCCTCTTTTTCCAACTTCTAAAAGTAAAGCTTAAATCATTGACCTTGGACTTTTTATATTTTCTAATAAAAATCATTTAAAGTTATAAATTTGTCTCTAATCATTACAAAAATTTTGATAGTCTGTGTTCTAATTCTTATTTAGGAAAAATTATTTTAAAATATCTTTTGTGATTTTCTCTTTGATCCATGTATTATTTAAAAGCATGTTGCTCAGTTTCCAAATACTTGGGGATTTTCTAGATATCCTTCTGCTATTAACTTCTATTTTAGTTCCACTGAATTTAGATAACATGTTCTATATTATTTTGGTCCTCTTAAATGTATAAAGTTGTTTTCTGCCCCAGATATGGTCCATTATAATGAAAGTTTTGTGTTCAGTTGGAAACAATGTGGATTCTATGAATATGGTGAATTGCGTTGATTGATTTATTGCGCTGTTGATTAAACTGACTTTGCATTCCTAGGATATAGAACACTACACCTAAAAATCTGTATTTAGGTAGAAGGTTCTATAGGCATCAATTAAATCAAGTTGGTTAGTAGTATTGTTCAAGTGTCCTTCCCCTTTATTCATTTTTTCTACTTGTTCTATAAGTTACTGAGAAACAAGTATGACAATTTGTAAATATAAGTGTAGATTTCTCTACTTCCCCCTTCATTTCTGTCCATTTCTTTGTCATATTTTGAAGTTCTATTATTAGGTGAATATATGTTTACAATTTTTCTCTTTCTGATAAATTTATCATTATGAAATGTTCTCGTTTATTTCTTGTTCTGCATATTTCTTGTTCTGAAGTTTACTTTTTCTGATATTTAACTAGCCCCTCCAACTTTGTTATAATTGGTGCTACATGGTATATTTTTTTCCATCCTCTTACTTTTGACCTACCTGTGCCTTTAAATTATTGAGGTCTTCAGACAACATAGAGTTGAGTCTTGCCTTATTATACAGTCTAAAAATATTTGTCTTTTTATTGGAATTTTTAGACCATTTTCATTTTATATAATTATCAGTATAGTTGGGTATAAATCTACCATTTGTCATTTGTTCTCTGTTTATTTCATCTGTTCTTCATCCTTTATTTCTCTTTTCTTGATTTCTTTTAGAGGAATTAAAAATGTTTATGGTTCTATTTTATCTCCACTGTGAGTTCATTAGCTATAACTCTGGCTTCATGTTTAGTGGTTGCATGAGGGTATACAATATGTATCATTAGCTCATTACAAATATACTATTATAACACTTTATGTACAATGTAAGACCTTACAACCATATACTTCTGTTTCCTCCATTCTGTCCATCATGCTATCATTACATATTTTGCTTTAATATGTTATAAGCCACACAGTACGTTGTTATTATTTTTGTTTAAACAATCAATTATCTTTTAAGGAAATTTAAAAATGAGAAAAGCCTTTGTATTTACCCACATACTTACCATTAAGTGTTTTTCATCCTTTGTCCACTTAGTATCACTTCACATTAGAAACACCTGGTGAGTCTTATTATATTTGTTAGTGTGAGGAAAATAATTGAAAGTATACACAGTTACCCAGCTCCTTGTCTCTTATAAGGGGTTGATTAGGAGTATCCAGTGGTGATATCTTTATTGCTAGATCATGCCATGGACTATTAGTGCTCTCTTTACAATTGGAAATAAAGTTATTAGCAACTTAAAGTGTAATCAGATTAGAGACCCAATTTTGGAATAGATAGATATGATTATACTTAAATATAATATATAACTATATATAATTTTGTACATATGCATAACGTGTGTGTGTGTGTGTGTGTGTGTAAGGAATTGGCTCCTATGATTATTGAGGCTGACAAGTCCCAAAATCTGCAGTTAGTAAGCTGGAAACAGCAGAGCCAATGGTGTACTTCCAGTTCAAAGGCTGGCAGGCTCAAGACTCATAAAAAGCTGATACTTCAGTTCAAAAATGGCAGGAAAAAAAAAACCACCTCCCAGCTCAAAGCAGTCAGGCAGGATGAAATTCTCTCTTACTTGCAGGAGAGTCAGTCTGTCTGTTCTATTCAGATCTTCAATAGATTTGATGAAGCCCACCCACATTTCTTAGCCACTGGCATTTAGCAATTGGATTATGTTTTACCTTGCATAGTTTTCTTTGTGCTTATCTTGCTTTTGATCTATTGAGCATCATGGATGGGTGGTTTTGTATGTTTCATCAAATTTGGAGCATTTTTTACCATTATTTCTTCAAATATTTTTTCTCTTCCCTCTTTCCTTTCCTTCTCAGCTTCCAATTACAAGTATGTGATCCATATACTTGCATGAATATTTTCCCACAGGTTACTAAAGATTCATTTAAATTTTCTTTTTAGTCTCTTTTGACTGAATTTTAGTTTTGAAAGTTTCTATTGCAACTTTCAAGTTCACTGATCTTTTCTTCTTCACGTCTAATCTGTTCATTTCATAAAGAAATTTTTTTATTTAAGATTTTTATTTTTGGCCCTTGTATTTCCTTTTTAATTTTTCTCCTTCTTTGATGATTACTTTCATGTTTCCTTTAAATTCGTGTGTATATCTGTAATTGGTGTTTTCAATCCTTTGTGTGCTATTTCCAACATCCATCATTCCTGAGTGTGTTTCTATTGACTGGTTTTTCTCTTGGTAGGAGTTGCACTTCTGTGCATCTTTACATGTCTGTATTTCTTATATGACACCAAACATTGTTAATTATACCTTACTTAATGCTAGATTTTGTTGTCCTCCTCTAAAGATTGGTAGATATTTTTCTGGCAGCCAGCTGAGTTACTTAGAAATTACCCTGACCCTTTTGAGGTTTGTTTTGAAGCTTTGACTGAAGGAAAGGGGTTAGATTAGACTTTATTTAGGGCTTCTTTACTCCTCCTGCCAAGACATGACTTTTCTGGGATCTCAACTGAACGCACCAGATTTTCTACAAGGACGCTCCACTCTGGCTGGTAGGAATGCAGGGGTCCCCCCCATGTCCCACATGAGCTCTGAAAGTGCCTGCTCACTGCTTTCCAATCACCCTTTGCCCAGCCTCCTGGAGTTTCATGATAGACATCCACAACCTAATTTTTATAACAGATCCATGGGGAACCCTGTTGTACTAATCTGTTCTCACACTGCTATAAAGAATGACCTGAGACTGGGTAATTTATGAGTTAAAGAGGTTTAGTTGACTCACAGTTCCACAGGCTGTACAGGAAGCATGGTTGGGGAAGCCTCAGAAAACTTAAAATCATGGAAGAAGGGGAAGAGAAAGCAAACACATCCTTCACATGGCGGAGCAGGAGGGGAAGTGGTAATCTCATGAGAACTCACTCACTATCACAAGAACAGCAAGGGGGAAATCTGCCCCCATGATCTAATCATCTCCCCCCAGGCCTCTCCTCCAACACTAAAGACCACAATTCAACAGGAGATTTGGGTAGGGACATAGAGCCAAGCCATATCAACTGTACAGATTTCTGGATATTTTTCTGTACATTACTCCCTCCTCTCAAAACTGCTGCATTGGGGATTAAGTTTCCAACACATAAACTTTGTGGGACACATGCAACCATAGCAATTCCCTTCCAGGGAGGTTCTGCAAAGAGGCCTGCCACTGATTCCTCATTGCATGGAGATGAGATCTCCCTTATTCTGCAAGGCCATGTGGTTTTTCCATCTCTTTCTAATCTGAGTGTTCAGGTAAAAGTCCATACCTGCTAACAGGGGCAAGCAGGTGCTAAAAACTAGTGAAAAAACTAGTGAAGAGGGCCCAACTAACTGAAGAGTAGCATGCCCACCCAAAGGGTCAGCTGTGACCAAGATCCCACAAAGGTAGCCATGCACAAATGCAGGCCAGGGCTGCTTGACTTCAGATTCTTCAAAAGAAGCTGCAAGTCACAATTTTTACATGAAATGTCCTGTGTGTTAAAAGTTAGCAACTGTGGGCCAGGCTCGGTGGCTCATGCCCGTTATCCCAGCACTTTGGGAAGCCGAGGAGGGTGGATCACAAGGTCAGGAGTTCAAGACCAACCTGGCCAATATGGTGAAACCCTGTCTCTACTAAAAATACAAAAATTAGCTGGGCTTGGTGGCACATGCCTGTAATCTCAGCTACTCGGAAGGCTGAGGCAGGAGAATTGCCTGAACCCGGGAGGCGGAGGTTGCAGTGAGCTGAAGTCATGCCACTGCACTCCAGCCTAGGTGAAAAAGGGAGACTCTGTCTCAAAAAATAAAAAAAAAGTTAGCAACTGTGGAGGACAAACAAAATGCTGACCCTGTCTTCAGACTTCTCCTTGGATGGAAGGGTGGCAGACCCAAAGCCTTTGGCTTAAGAAATCTCCCCAGGGCCAGGTCCTAACAAAACGTGGCTTCTCCCATGATGTCCCCCATGTGTCAATGCTAAACCGACCCTCTGGCTCTGACAATTCAAAGTCAACTCAACAAATGCTTACTAAGCATTTGCTGCCTGACAGGCTCTGGCCTTGATGTTGGGAATAAGACTGGACCGGTCACTCATATCTCTGCCCTCAGAGATGTGACCTCAGAGATTAAACCTCTAGTGTTTACTAGAGGTTAAACACTAGTGAGGAGGCAGATATTAGCCCAACCATCGCAAGAATACATGACTACAAACTGAGATAAATATTAGGAAGAAAAATTGGAGGAAACTAAGAGAGTTTATTACAGCAGATTTTACTGGCTATGATATTTGAACTGAATGTTGAAGGATGGATAGCATTCAAATAATTAAAGAGATTGGATGAGATTGAGAGTAAAGCTTTCCATAAAGTGAGCACAGTACGTGCAAAGGCCCTGAGGCAGAGCAGAGTGTAGGCATTCTACAAACTCAAAGGCCAGTGTGGCTGGAGTGCAGGGAGAAAGAGAGAAAGTGCACACAGGTCTTCTAACACCTAAAAAAAATGTGTTAGCCACCTCGTTTTCCCCAGTGTAGCCAGAAATGCATTGGTAAGGAAAGACCCAGGTTAAAGCAAGCCCGAGTGTGTGACCACCCTCTGCATGGTGGCTCCTGTCCTGCTACCCATTCCAGGAGGACACAGCAAAACCAGGGGCCACATCTTTGATTCTGTAACTTGCATCACAGGTCCTCCAAATACAGCTCCTTCCCCATCAGTCCCTGGATACTTCTAAGTTCATTTCCTGATCAATTTCCCTCTGGCCTATACATCTTAACCATTGAGGATGTTGTCTTGCTCTCGGCCTGGTCCGTCTGTGTTTGCCACTTACTGTGTGTCCCCTCAGGGCCCAGACCAGAGCCACAGACATGGGCTGGACCCCTCCCTAGTGGGTGAAGAGCCCTGGTGTCATCATCCAGGAAGAGGCTGATCCTCCCAAGGAAATGGGACCAGAGGGAGGGGAACTCAGGCTGTCCCTCTCTGGAGCTGACGTAGGCCCATCTTCACCCTGGTTTTGACTTGAGTTTAGATTTGTCTGAGGCCAGGAAGGTTAGTGAGGCAGCAGCGGGTGGGCAAAGAGACCCTTACCCAGTGAAGACAACTGGGGTGAGGCCGCCTCAGGGTAAGGCCCTCTGAAGAGGAGAGGGGTTTTCCCGTGAGCCCATAACATCGAGTCACCTGCTGCCTCCTGATTCAGTCAACATTGCTGAGTGTCTGCAGCTGAGCCCACTCTCTGTGCTGGCACTGGAATCCTAGGTGACAAAATGCCCAGGCCCTGTTCTGAGGAAGCAGATGCCCCTGAGGAAGTGGACAACAGTCCAGCAACCCCATGTGGCAGTGGAAGCACAAGTGAGGGCATGGCTATGCCCAGGAATTCTCTGAACCACAAGAGGGTCGAACTCAGGGCCTGAGCCAGTCTTGGGGGTCAGCAAGAGCATCCCAGAGGGAGTGACATAGAAGCTCTCCACTCCAGGCTAGCTGGGAGTTGTAGGCCAGGTGGAGTACATTCCAGGCAGAGGAAACTGCAGATACAAAATCCTGGGAGCAGGAGAGAGTGCAGAGAGTTTAAGGAAGAAAGAAGTCACATGAAGCGAGATGGGGCTGCAGGAGAAGGAACCTGTACAAGGACAGACTGAGGAGGGTTGAGGGGTGGGGGTGGGTGGGGCCCAGGCTGTCAGGAGATGTATTAGCTCATTCTCACACTGCTAATAAAGACATATCCAAGACTGGGTAAAAGAAAAAGGTTTAATCGACTCACAGTTCCACATGGCTGGAGAGGCCTCTCAATCATGGTGGAAGGTGAATGAGGAGCAAAGTCACATCCTACATGGTGGCAGGCAAAAGAGAGCATGTGCAGGGGAACTTCTCTTTATAAAATCATCAGATCTCATGAGACTTATTCAGCATCACGAGAACAGTATGGGAAAGACCTGCCCCCATGATACAATTACCTCCCACCAGGCCCCTCCCACGACATGTGGGAATTATGGGAGCTATCATTCAAGATGACATTTGGATGGAGACACAGCCAAACCATATCAGGAGATTAGATGGGCCCTTTCAGCACAGTCTGTCCTAGACAAAGAGACTTAAGGAAGACTCAGGGCCCCCCTTGGGTGTGGACATTCACTTGGGAGCAGAGTCCGGAAGCCAGCATGATGCGGGGGGAGGATGCTCTAGATTGACGGTGTTTACCCAAAGTGCATGTGCTGAAATCCTAAACCTCAAGGTGATGCTATTAGGAGGCTGGGTTGTGCAGGGGTGATTAGGTCCCTTATAAAAGACCCTGGAGAGATCCCTCACCCCTTCTGCCATAGGAGGACACAGCAAGAAGGCGCCATCTATGAAAGAGTAAGAGGCCCTCACCAGAAACCAAATCTGTTTCAGCTACTTGATCCTGGACTTCCCAGCCTCCAGAACTGTAAGAAATAAACTTATGTTGTCCACGTGCCACGTGGTGTATGGCATTCTGCAATAGCGGCCCGAGCCAACTAAGAAAGTGGGGAGCCATGGTGAGTGAGTGCCCAGGAGCCAGGAGTGTCTGCCCCAGGGGCTGCAGGTTCAGGCACTGCTCCACGGGGAGGCCTCCACTCCTTGCCAGTTTTGGCAGATCCAGGCTTGGGGCTACAGAGCAGCCTGCCAGACTGCCCCGGACCAGGCAGGAGCACACCTGCCACATGAGAACTGAGCAAGGATGATGCAGTTGCAGCCCACATCCAAAGCCCTCCTTCCAACACACCAAGCTGCACCCCACAGCCATTTTGTGGTTCAAGGTACAACTCACATTTTCAGGAACAGAGGGCAAGGCCTGGGGATCTACTGCCTTACTATAGAGAGAAATCTGCTTCCAATGCCCCACCTGTAGCCCAAAGCCCTCCTACCAGGACACCCCAAAAGTTGTGTCATAGCTGTGCTGCAGGCCTCAGTGACTCGGCTCAGGATGAACACAGGAGGGCTGGAACAGACCATCCCTGCTCCTCCCTCCTTCCCCCACTCCCCGCCCCATGAGTAGCCCTGGCCTTCTGCCAAGGGTCTGGCAGGGCCCAGGAAGGGAGGGTGCCCTTCTTTTGTTCTGCTAAAGTCCTGGGGTTTCTCCCCCATGGTGTCTGACTGCCCAACCTCCACGCGAGCATTTGGAGGCAGGGGGCACTTTGACCCACTTTGCTCATCCCAGCCTCCTACAAATGGCCTCCTGGTCATCAAGTGTGGAGGAAATCACACTTGGAGCCCAACTGGGAGCCCCAAATTCGGCTCCAGCTTGCTCTTGACATGGGGCAGGGAAAAGCAAGGTGGTATGAGGTGCCCAGGCAGGGAGACGGGGAGCCTCAGGTCTTTCTCTCGGCCGGCCTCCAAGGACCGTCAGACTTCTGAGTCTGGTTTCTCATCTCTAACTTGAGATGCCTGAACTATACAGACCCCTATCCTAACACTCTGAATGAAACAATGTGTGATCCCAAGTCCAAAACCTTCAAGGTTGGGATCCTTAAATGACACTGAGCAAACCCACTGAGGAGTTTTTCCAGGTGCTGGGGTTACCCCGAGGGTTCGCCTGGCATCTCCCTCTACCAGGACGTGCAGAATGACTGGATGTTTGAGTGGGAAGGGCATGAGAGTGCATGTCATAGGGAAGGAAGCTGTGGCCCAGGGTCCCCAGGCTGCCTGGCTCCCCACTAAAGGCTCCCTCTGCCTTAGCAATTGGCCTCCTGCCGCCTGTAGGCTTAGCACCATCTCAGCGACAGCGATAACACCTGGAGTGAACAGGCCTCCTGCAAACTTTATGTTGCCCTGGAGATAACAGACCGTTCAGACAGACTCAAACACTTCCAGCCAAGGCAGAGGAGTAGGTCCCCAGCAACAGCAGGACTCATTTGCTTTTAGAGATAATGTTGCTGAGGCTGATTGAACTGTGCTCCAGTCTCTTGTCCAAACACGTGTATTTCTCATCTCTTAACCATGACTGCATGTTTGGAGATAACACCTACTCAGGAGCCTTGGCAACTAGATCAGCCAGCAATCTGTGGGAGAAAAGTGGACTGCCACTAAGTGTCACCAGACAGAATGCCATCCCTTCAGAACACAGCTGTCTGCTCCAAACCCTGTACCTCTCACACCAGCTGGTGGGGGAGCAGGTGAAGCAGCACAGCATTGCAGGAAAGCAATTTTGCAAAAGGTGTCAGAGGCTTAGAAGCTTGCATCTCCTGCTTCCCCTTCATTTTGTTTTGGGTAGCTCTCTTACAGGAATGACTCAAACCAGCCTCCACTGACAGAACACCAAGAACTCAGGGGACCCTACAAAGCTTCCTGGACAGGCTTTTCACCTATTCATAAGGAATTTTAAATTTAAGGAATATAAAAAGTACAAACAAAAATGTTACTACAATCCCATGATCACTGGGGTATTTCCCTCCAGGGGTGTTGCTTCTGTGAATGTATAAGTGCATTTCCAAATAATGAGGTGCTTACTCTGCGGCTTAGCAACTGATTTTAAAATATTTAATAGATAGCAAGCTTTTCTCAGTGCTGTTAAAAAGTAGCCTGTCTTGTCAAGCCTTCTCTGATTGCTGGACATTCTATTGTTTCTTATCTTTCACTACATGATACAGCACACAGAAAGGCATTTTGTACAGAAATCTTACAATCAAATATAGACTCCCCTGTCAGCTCTGAGCTTCTCCACATGCCTTTTCCTTCTGAGTAGTGCTGCTTCCAGTTGCCATGGGCCTGGCCCATAGTAGGTGGTGTTGGATAATGCTTCCCAAATTACCCTGCTTCACTGATGACAAACATAGTGGCTTCCCTCTCATTGTGAAGTGAGTAAATGCATGTATCTGGCACAGCATAAGAACTGAAGAAAATGCCAGCTGTTTTTTTTTTCTTTTTTTGAGACAGAGTCTCTGTCCCCCAGGCTGGAGTGCCGTGAAGCAATCTTGGCTGACTGCAGAGGGTTCAAGCAATCCTGGTGCCTCAGCCTCCCGAGTGCTGGGACTCGAGGCACATGCCACCACGCCTGGCTAATTTTTGTATTTTTAGCAGAGGCGGGGTTTCACCATGTTGGCCAGGCTGATCTCAAACTCCTGACCTCAAGTGATCCATCTACCTTGGCCTCCCAAAATGCTGGGATTACAGACGTGAGCCACCACACCCAGCTGAAAATGCCAGCTTTAATAAAGATGAAGCTAAGGATAAGGACCATCCCCACGCTCAGAGCAGAGCAGGGAAGACAAAGAAAAACAGGTGGTTCTAGGTACTGGTCCTCTCGGAGGAGGGTACAGCAGCCTGCTTCTTACCTGAACTGTGTTTCTTAAATATTTCTAAAAATACTGCCAGGTGTCTGCTTACCCCTGTCTGCAGAAGGAAGTTTGCATATTTGCACAGGAATATAAGCATTTGTTAATTGGTTTCTGTGTTGATATATACAAATGTTATAGATCCCTGGGTCAATAGTTCTGCCTGGGGAAAGGTGGAGGAAGTACAATCAGGTGATAAAGTACTGTGCCCAAGACGCAGAACTTGCTTCCACCGGTGCCCAGAGAATTGGCAGGGGACCATGGTCTGCCTGACTGCCCCTTTCCTTCTCACTCTCCCTCCCTTCCTCCCTCCCTCTTTCTCTCTCTCTCCCTCTCTTTCTCTCTTTTTATTGAGCTTAATTTGCAATATACTGTCCTGCTTTCTTTTCTTTTCTTTTTTTTTTTTGAGATGGAATCTCACTCTGTCGCCTAAGCTGGAGTGCAGTGGCATGATCTCGGCTCACTGCAACCTCCTCCCTCCAAATTCAAGCATTTCTCTGCCTCAGCTTCCCGAGTAGCTGGGATTACAGACGCCCACCACCACGCCTGGCTAATTTTTTGTATTTGTAGTAGAGACGGTGTTTCACCATGTTGGCCAGGCAGGTCTTGAACTCCTGACCTCATGATCCACCCTCCTCGGCCTCCCAAAGTGCTGGGATTACAGGTGTGAGCCACCATGCCCGGCCTGTCCTGCTTTCTTAAATAGAGGCAGACAAGCCCCATTCCCCTAGGCCCTAAAGTCTAGTTTCCATGCTTTGTATGGAGAGCTATTTTTTTCATGCTGTTGCTGGAGCCCTCTGGAGTCTTGATTGGCTGCATCGTGGGGAAGGTGGGCTCGCTGGCCTAGCACCTCCCTGGTCCCCTGTTGGAGGCTAGCTCACCTTCAAGCTCCAATATCTGTTCTTCATGGTGGAAACCAATTTACTGTCCTCTCAGGGGGCATTATTCTGGGCCAGGCACTGTGCCAGCTGCCCAGGAGATAACAACCTACACCCTTTGTTTGCCGGGGTTACAGCCAGGTGAAAAGATGGAGACTCTCTTGCATCCTTCCAGCTCTAAGATTCCCTAAGTGCCCAACAGGAACAAGGCAAAGTGCAAAATCCAGGGATGCAGACACGAAACAAGGGAGCCAGGAAAAGTTTTCAGAGAAGGTAAACTTGGAATTGGAAAGCATGAGATTCGGAAGGCATTGAGCTGGGCACAGTGTGGCATATGTGAGGACCCAAAAATAAGGAGTCTGTGGATTCAAGCATGGGGTGGGAGTGAGGGGGTGCTGGAACAAGCAGGAGAGGAAGGCCAGCCAGGGGGAAGCTGTGAATGGCCAGGGGCCATGTGAAAGCACGGGGACCCCATCCTGCAGAGGGCAGGAACCGCTGAGTGGGAGAGTCAAGGTCAGATGTGAGACGTTGTCCAGAGAAAGGATCGCTGGACAAAAGGCCTGGTGGCAGAGATGTCATTGAGGGAGGTTCTTGACATAGTCCAAGCTAAAGGAACAAGTCTGAATCAGATGCCCCTAACTAGGCAATTCAGTGGTTCACAATAGGAATAACTGTGATGGAAAATCCAGCTGGAATCTGAGAAGGACCATATTTTGCTTTGGACTTGCACTTGAGGTATGTGTGGAACATGCCGTGGAGGCGTCCAGCCTGCAGGTAGACGGAGACTGGAGAAGGTGTGAGTCTGGGAACGGGGCACAGTTGCAATTGCTTATGGAGGGTGTTGGGGGCAGGACACAAAAGCTACAGCAGAACCAGGAAAGCCTGGCATATGAGGGACAGAGGACCTAGCTGGAGTCATGCCATGGGAGCTAAGGGAAGAGGAGATTTCAGGGAGGTGATGTCAAGAATGAAGCTGCAAAGATCAAGTATTGCAAGGACCCAAATCGCATGGCAAGACCATGCCACTTGTGCTTTTTTTTTTTTTTTTTTTTGAGACAGAGTTTTGCTCTTAGTGCCCAGGCTGGAGTGCAATGGTGTGATCTCGGCTCACTGCAACCTCCGCCTCCTGGGTTCAAGTGATTCTCCTGCCTCAGCCTCCCAAGTAGCTGGGATTACAGGTGTCCACCATCACACTCAGCTAATTTTTTATCTTTAGTAGAGATGGGCTTTTATGCAGAGCAGTTTCAGCAGTCACAGAAGTGAAAATGCCTGTCAGCTGAGAAGCAAAGAGAAAGTGAGAGTGTGGTGGCCAGGAGTGTAGAACACTCTTGTGGGGCTTGGCTCTGAGGGGAAGAAGGTCCAGAACAGGGGCTGGCAAAGTCGTGGGGAGTATTTTTCCTAATGGGGGCCTTCGCTGCAGTTTGTAGCTGCAGTGGCAGAGCCTGTAGAGGAAGAGAGGATGAAGATGACCTTGAGGATGCCATCCTGGAAGGCTGGGGAACCGTGATGTCATTACTTATGGGATAAACTCTCCCCAGAGGAGGAATCCTCACGTGCTTTGCATTTGTTCCTTCCCCCAGGCTCAGACACTTTGACACTCCCCAGTCCTGAGTGTGGGGCCAGTTCAGGCAAGGCAGGAGGGAGGAGGAGGCCCAGAGCCCCGTGGAAAATTTTCCTAGGGAGGCCCAAGCCTGACACTGGGAGACAGGTCAGCAACACAGGACACAGGGCTGCACCCAGGCCAGCACGGGGCCCAGAGTGGCAGGCTGGCAACCTGTGTCCCCCTCAACTCATCTCACATTTTTTCTCAACAGTTTGGACATTTATGGCTTTTTATCTAGTACCATATGCCCGTCGATGGGAGCAATGAGGCTGCTGGTCTGGCTTTTAATAGCACAGCTCAGATGTGGACATGGCTAATACTAACTTAGATGAGGAAATTAACTGGAAGAGCCATGGAATCAAGCTTGGCCTGTGTAGGACAGTCCTCTTAAAATGAGATTATGATTTTAACAAAAATCACGCAGCACCTGCCATGTACTGGATATTCTACTCGGTCCTGATGCTGGCTTTGCTGGCAGATCTCTACTTCATTCCATGGAGAGGTTGGAGGGCCTTAAAATTACTCTATTTCCCACAAAGATAAATCATAGACTCAAAAAATAACAGATGCTGGTAAGGTTGTAGAGAAAAAGGAATGCTTATACACTGTTGATGGGAGTGTAAATTAATTCAATCATTGTGGAAAACAGTGAGGTAATTCCCCCAAAGACCTAAAAACGGAACTACCATTCAACCCAGAAATCCCACTACTGGGTATATACGCAAAGGAATATAAATCGTTCTACCATAAAGACACATGCATGCACATGTTCATTGCATCACTATTCACAATAGCAAAGACATGGAATCAACCTAAATGCCCATCAATGGTAGATTGGATAAAGAAGATGTGGTACATATACACTATGGAATACTATGCAGCCATAAAAAAGAATGAGATCATGTCCTTTACAGGAACATGTCCTTTACAGGAACATGATCTTGTTCTTTTTTATGGCTGCATAGTATTCCATAGTGTAGGCTAGAGCTGGAGGCCATTATCCTTAGCAAATTAGCACAGGAACAGAAAACAAAATACCACATGTTCTCACTTATAAGTGGGAGCTAAATGATGAGAGCCCATGGGCAGAAAGAGGGGAACGACAGACACTGGGGCCTACTTGAGTATGGAGAGTAGGAGGAGGGAGAGGATCAGAAAAATAACTGTTGGGTACTAGGCTCAGTACCTGAGTGATTAAATAATCTGTGCAACAAATCCCCATGACACAAGTTTACCTATGTAACAAACCTGCACATGTACCCTGAAACCTAAAATAAAAGATTTTAAAAAATAAATAAAAATGTTTAAGTAAAATAAAAAATAAATTTTAAAACTTAAATTAACTTTTAAAAAAACCATGGACTCTTAGAAGAGCACAAATTCTTGAAAATATTCTGGTTCAAACCCTTCATTTGACTACTATGGAATCTGAGACTCAAAGAGAGTTAGCGACTTCCAGACCTCTCTGTGTAGGTGGCAGATCCATTGAACTATCAGAAGACAGCTGCCATCATCCGACAAGGCTTCTGTGGGGCCCAGGCACCTCTTTCGGACAAGTGTGGGGCTTGGACCAGAGCCCCCATAGCTTCTGGGTGGTGGGGGGCAGGCATGGGTAATGCATTGTAGGGGGTGATCTGGGCGGCGAGAGGAGGACTAGAAGGAGGTGGTAGGCACAGCAAACAGAGGCAACTTTCAACATCCCTCAAGGTGCCTGCCTTCCTCAGAACTCCGCCTCCCTTTAGCAAGCTGAAGAGAGTGAGAGCAGCCTCCCTTTAGCAAGCTGAAGCAAAAGGCTTTGGAAATGATCTTGGGGCCGCAAACTCCTTGAGCAAACAAGGGAAAAGTACTTAGCAGCCCATACACTTCCTGCTAGATCAGAGTTCATCAGGGAAAATCCACAGAGATAATCTCAGGAACAAGCGTTCTGACCCTTCCAGGGCAGCGCACTGGGACCTAGCCGGGCTGATGTCAGACTCCAGGAGAGCGACCCCGGACCTTGGGCTTATATGATCAAGGAAGCACAGCCCCTGGCCTGGTGGGATCAGAGCTTGATCTGATCGTAGTGGGGTATGGCAGAACTCTGGCCATCAGCCCTTCTCTTCCAGCTCAAGGGGGAGGCAGGTGGGGTTGCAGGGAGCAGCAGCCCCACTCCAGCATGATCAGGAGCTGGGGTTCCAGTCTATGACACAGCAGCATCCTACCAGTGTTGATCATCTTCAGATTCAGCCAAAACCAGCTTCCTTGGAGCTCTGCAGGAGACGAACTTTGTGAGGCCAGCCTGCCGAGAATAGGGAAACCAGGAATCGGCTGAAGTTTGGCAGTGGCTTACAAAACTAAACACACCATTGCCATACAATCCAGCAAAAGTACTCCTTGATATTTACCCAAAGGAGTTGAAAGCTTATGTTCACATAAAAACCTGCACATGGATGTTTACAGCAGTAGCTTTATTCATCATTGCCAAAACTTGGAAGCAACCAAGATGTCCTCGAGTAGGTGAGTGGATAAATAAATTTTGGCACATCCAGACAATGGAATATCACTCAGCTCTAAAAAGAAATGAGCTGTCAAGCCATGAAAAGAAATGGAGGAACTTTAAATGCTTATTATTAAGTGAAAAAAGCCAATATGAAAGACAACATACAGTATTATTCCAACTACATGGCTTTCCGGAAAAGGCAAAACTACGGGGATGGTAAAAAGATCGGTGGTTGCCAGGGTTTAACAGGAAAGGAGGTGATAAATAGGTAAGACACGGAGGATTTTTAGGGCCATGAAACTATTCTGTGTGATACTATAATGGTGGTTACGTGTCATGATGCATTTGTCCAAATCCATAGAATGTACAACACCAAGAGCAAACCCCGAACCATGGAGTCTGGCATCAACTGTAACAAACACACCACTCTAGTGGACAGTGTAGCTAACGGGGAGGCTGTGCATGTTTGGGGCCCAGGAAGGATACGGGAAGTCCTTCTTGGCCTTCCAGAAACTGGACTCCTGGCCCATCTTTTCATCTCTTTGGAGAAACAAACAACAAACAATAATCTCGTCATAATTAAAATTCACTGTGATATAAAGCTACTCTAAAAATAGTACAATTAAAATTAAAATTTATTTCATTTCTTGAGCTGACATTTCAGACAGCCCAGTGGCCTCCCACTAAACTCGAAGGTAATGAGTCTCTGCTCAGTCTCACCTCCTGGGCTTCTGTTCCAGTGTGAGTCTGAGCTCCATTCAACTCTTCCTGGGCCTTTTCAGCTCTAGGTGTAAAGGTTCAGTGTGAACTCGTAGAAAGAAGACAGGCTTTTCAGTCAACAGATCTGAATTCTTATAAGGACTGTCTCATAGTCCTTGGTCTCAGTTTCCATATTTGTACAGTGAGGATCATGGTACAGCGTTAGGGCTGGACAGAAAGCCCTCAGACTGGCTTAGGACAGATGGAGTGGTCATTTGGGTTCTTTCTACTCCATTTCACTGTGACTATAAAGCTGCTCTAAAAAATAGTGAGAGTAAAACGAAAAGATTGATGTTGATTTTCATACTTTAACCCAATATATCTAAAATATTGCTATTTCAACATATAATCAATATACAAAATTATTAATGAGACACTTCACATTCTTTGTAGGGGCTGTCTTTGAAATTCAATGTGTAATTTACACTTGGCACATCTCAATTTGTGCCAGTTCTATTTCACGTGCTCAGAAGTCACATGTGGCCCATGGCCACCACACTGGACAGCTATGGTTTCATTGTCCAACCCCACCTTGGAACCCAAATCCTTGGAACCCATGATCCTCACTGTACAAACATGGAAACTGAGACCAAGGACTATGAGACAGTGCGTGTAAGAATTCAGATCTGTTGACTGAAAAGCCTGTCTTCTTTCTACGAGTTCACACTGAACCTTTACACCTAGAGCTGAAAAGGCCCGGGAAGAGTTGAATGGAGCTCAGACTCATGCTGGAACAGAAGCCCGGGAGGTAAGACTGAGCAGAGACTCATCACCTTCAAGTTTAGTGGGAGGCCCCTGGCTGTCTGAAATGTCAGCTCAAGAAATGAAATAAATTTTAATTTTAATTGTACTATTTTTAGAGTAGCTTTATATCACAGTGAATTTTAATTATGACGAGATTATTGTTTGTTGTTTGTTTCTCCAAAGAGATGAAAAGATGGGCCAGGAGTCCAGTTTCTGGAAGGCCAAGAATCGAAGTAGTAAGCTGCAGCCGTTTTCCAGACAAGCAGGATGTGGGGATGCAGAAGAATTCAGGACTGGAGGGGCAAACTCCGTAAGCAGGGGCTGTCACGATTCCCATCTCCCTCTATAAACCTCTCTCTTTTCATGTCATACTGTTCCATGTTATATGTAACTGTTTTAAAGCTACATACTGGACAAAAAGTGGAATAGACTCCAGCCTCTGAATTGTTAAATAAGCTGATGACAAACCTTCACATTTTCTCCATCAGGATGTGACTGAGGCCCCACTGCCAAATGGCAGCATGCTCAGATAGCACCCAGGAATTTGGGGAAAAAAACTGGTGCTCACAGCTGCCCAGTTAAGGCACAAGTCTCCCGCCTGCTGCAGGTATGTGGGTGGGACAAGTGGGTCAGTCCACAGAACAAAAGGTATGTAAAGGAGGCCTTCTTTTTGGGAAATCCTTTGTAGATCCACCACCCACACCTTAGTCACAAGCCCAGAAGGGGCTGAAAATGACATTTCCAAGGGGCACAGGCTGCCAGCCATCACAAAGCACACTATCTGGTGGGGGAGATATGGCTATCGCAGAGTTTTCACCCACGAGCTGGAGTTCTTTGTTCTGAATGCATGCCCTGCTTTCAGTATGGTTTCCTTGGCAGTCAAAAAGATGCTAATCAAATGCCCCATTGATAGCTTTATGAATGAAAGGATGTGTATTTTAAGAGAGCTTTTTGCCGGCACCCAATTACACTGATAAACTTTTCGCAGTCTGACAGGAATTAGTTTCAAATAAGTGGTGACATTTAAACAACAACAAACCTCAAGGCCATGATTAAGCAGCCACACTCTCAAGCACCCTCCTGCTCCACCGATCATTGTCAAGTGCCCTTGCAGATGCCTGTTTGGCTGCCCAGGCTGGGAGTGCTGGCTACTGCCGGCTAAGCAGACATCTTGCTCTGCTCCTCGGACCCTTTCCCAATATCTCCTCTGGACCTGGGAGCCCCATTCCGGTCTGTCTGTATTTGCAGGGGTTGTGAGGTGTATCAGAACCTTGAAGAGATACTCTGGGAAGAAAGGCCTTCCCAGACTGCCTCTCCGCAGTGCTGTAAGAATCAGATTTCTTCTATGGGGGACTTCCAGGTCTCTTCAGCATTTTCTCAGTCATCACTGTATCCCTGCCACTCAGTGAACCACAGCAACAACTCCCAGCTTCCAGCCGAGAAGCTTGACCCTGAAGCTGGCCTCGATTCTCTACAGAAGTGAGGCCACAGAGCACAGGTGAAGGGCCACTTACCTGGTATCATCTCTGGTCTCAGCTCTGGAGAACTAGCTCCTCTGCCACTGCCACATCCTGTCCACCAAGACCTCCTTGCTGAACCCCACCCCCACCCGGTGCCTCAGGACCCTAACTTGTTTGCTGACCTCCATGTCCTCTCACCAGATCAAGCCCTGGGGAGCTGAACTTCCTCTGGCCCACTGCCAGCTCTGGATCAGTCCACACCCCAGCCAGCCACAGCCCAGCCCTGCCTCTCTCTGTCTCTCTCTCATGGCTGGGTTGGCCTTGGCCAATGCTCTCTCTAGAGATCAAGACACAGGCACCTCTCTTGGTCTGTTCTGGCTGCTGTGACAAAATGCCTTAAGCTGGGTGGCTTATAAACCACAGAAATTTATTTCTCACTGTTCTGGAGGCTGGGAAGTCCTACAGACTGGGGTACTGGCCTGCTTGTTTCCTCATGAGGGCTCTCTTCCTGGGTTGCAGATGGACATCTCCCTGATGTATCTTCACATGGCAGAGAGAGAGAGAGAGAGAGAGAGAGACAGAAAGACAGAGAAAGAGAGAGAGAGAGAGAGAGAGAGAGCATGCTCTTTGGTCTCTTCTGGTAAGGGCCTAATCCCGTCATGAAGAATCCCCATAACTTCAACTAAATCTAATCACTTCTCAAAGGCTCCATCTCCACATACCATCCCATTGTGGGTTAGGGTTTCAACATAGGAATTCTGGAGGCACACAAACGTGCAGTTCAAAACATGTGGAGACAAGGGGGCAAGGACTAGAGAGCCCTACCATCCTCGTTCAAACCCTTGAATCAAGCCTGAAGTCAAAGAACTTCCTTTGGAGAGCCCCATTCCATGAGCCGATAAGTTCCCCATTTTGCCATCACCCACTTGAGTTTGGGATTTTCCCCCAGTTACTGAGTGCCTGACTGACATGATGCCCCCCACAGATGGGCCTCCCTGCCCCCAATCTCACCTCCTCTGTTAGTTTCCTGGGGTTGCCACAACAAAGCGTTACAGGCAGAGCGGCTAAAATGACAGAAACTTATGGTCTCACAGTTCTGGAGGCTGCAAGTTCAAGGTCAAGGTGTCAGCAGGGTTGGTTCCTTCGGAAGGCTGTGCAGGAGCCTGTTGGGTGCCTGTCCCTCAGCTTCTAGTGGATTACTTCCATCTTCAGCATGCCTTGGCTTGTAGAAGGACTACCCTGAACTCTGCCTTCATGGTCACAACACATCCTCCCTGTGTGTGTTTCTGTGTCCAAATTTCCCCTTCTTATAAGGACACCAGTCTTATACGGACAATGCTCAATGTATGAACCTTTGCCAAGGGATTGGATTAGGGACCCACTATATTCCAGTATGACCTCATCTTAACTAATTATACCTGCAATGACACTGCTTCCAAAGAAGGCCACATGATGAGGTACCGTTGGTTAGGAATTCAATATATGAGTTTGGGGGGACACAGTTCAGCCCACACCACCTCCTCTGACCCTGAATTGGATGCTGTTTCTGCTCTGCTTATGATCCTCTTGTCCTCACTGGCCTCTTGGTCCAGCACCCACTGAGGCACCAGCTCTGAGAGAGCTCACTGGCTTCACACAGGTGCGACCTGATGGCGCCTCACCTCATACCCCAAACATCCTTCTCATCTCTGCAGGACCTGCTCTGTTTATGTCCAGGTATGTTCAGTGTTCCTGTGTGTCCCCAGAGTGTGGGGAGGTAATGCTCCATGTACGAACCTTTGCCAAGGGAATATGGAAACCGATGGATGAGTTCTTACCTCTTTTTTCGTCCAGACAAACTGTCCTAAGATGGTTTTAAGAGATACCGAGTAATCAGCTGCCAGCTCAGTAGCGCATCTTCAGATTGACTCTCCCTCCTTCCCTGTCTCCTTCCCCATATTCTTCATCTTGTTCCCTGGGATCTTTCTCCCTAATAAAGGAAAAGCTCATAGACCTCTGCCCCAGATTCTGCTTTCTGGGGAATGCAGGCCAATCCAGCCACACTACTCTCCCTCCATGTAACCTGACCATGCCATCCCCCTGCTTAAAAGCTTTCAGTGCTTCTCCATTGCCCATAAAGCTCATACTTTCTAGCTATGAGCTTCAAGGCCACTTGGAGGTCATCTGGCCAACTGTCCTTCCTGCTACAACAGTCTAAGTCATAGGCTTTGGAAGATAACTGATTGGGTTTCATCTTTGGCTCTTATTGAAAATGTGGAAAAAATTATTTCACCTCTATAAGCTTCAGTTTCTTCATCTATCTGATCTCAGGATTGAGGGAAGGCAATGTATATAAAGCATCTGGCACAGTGGTTGGGGCACTAAATACATGGCAGCCAGTGTTTATTATTACAAACCAGGAAACCAGGATGCAAAGGGAGCTGCTTCAGCTCCCTTTCAGTCAGCAGACAACGGCTGTCAAACTTGGGACCAAACAGCTACAAAACCAGATGCCCGCTCTCCACAAATAAGAGGCTGAAGTGCAGCTCTCCACTGATGAACTATAACAGTTGGAAATTCACTTGTACTATGGATATTTCTTCTGCACCTCTCGTGAACAGCCTGTTCTTGCTGAGAGCTGGACAGTAAATAAAACATCTACAGTGCCTACTTCCATGGGGTTCATGTTCTAATGAGGGAGTGGAGACCCTCAACAAAGAACCAGCCAATGTGCTAAGTCCTGTGGCAGAAACTGGGCAGAAAAGGGAAGAGAGAGGGAGGATGGTTATATTTTTACAGGATGGTTAAAAAATTAGTCTTCTGTTTTTTGAGACAGGCTTTCACTCTGTTGCCCAGGCTGGTGTGCAACGGTGTGATCATGGCTCACTGCAGCCTTGACCTTCTGTGCTTAGTCAATCCTCCCACCTCAGCCTCCCAAGTAGCTCAGAATACAGGCTTGTGCCACCATGCCCAGCTGATTTTTGTAATTTTTGTAGAGAGAGATGGGGTTTCACTATGTTGTCTAGACTGGTCTCAAATTCCTGGGCTCAAGTGATCTGCCTGCTTTGGCCTCCCGAAGTGCTGGGATTACAGGCACAAACCACCATGCCCAGCCAGGAAATTAATCTTCTAATAAAGGTTCACTTAAGGTGAAGGGAGCAAGGGAGAAAGTTGATATCAAGGGGTGGCATTCCAAGCAGCAAGAGTAGGAAGTAGAAAGGCCTGAGGCGGGAGAGGTCTTAGCCTGTTCAAAAGATAGCAGAGAAGCAAGCACTGCTGAAGAGGAGTGGGTGAGGGGAAGGGTAGTGGGAAGTGAGGCCAGAGAGGGGTGGATGATCTGCAGACACAGGTGGAGACTGTGACTGTGAAATTTGCCCTGAGTATGATGGAAAGCCACTGGAGGGTTGAACAAAGTTGTAGAGGCACCTGACTAGTTTCAGTGGATCACTCTGGCTGAATGAGGCCAGAAAGGAGGCCTCTGCCATGATCTCAGTAGGGAGGACAGTGGCTTGAACCTGAAGGCAGAGCCTGGAGGCAGTGAGAAGTGGTCATTCTGAGAACATTTTGAAGGCACAGCTTACAGAACTCACCGATAGATTGGATGAGGGTTGTGAATAGGAGGTGATCCCAAAGACTGTGGCCCAAGCAAATGAAAAGCAGGACTTGCCCTTTTCTGAAAAGGAGGACACTGAGGAAGGAGGTAGCAGGGACAAATCTGGAGTTTGCTTTTGAATGTGCCAAGCTTGAGATGCTGACTGGTGTCTAGGAAACACAAAGCATGCCTGGACACCCAAATGTGGAGGTCAGGGAGAAGTTCAGACTGGAGATACACTGGGGAACATTAGAGTATTTGTGGCATTTAGCACCAGAAAACTGGGTGAGCTCACCAGGGGAATGAGAGGACCTCCAGGGCTCCTTGGGGATGCTCCAGTGTCCCAAAATCAGGGCAACAAGAGTCCAAGAAAAGAGATGGGGAAGAAGAGCCCAATGAGGCAGGGAGAACCATGACCATTATGCCCTGAAAAAGCCACATGCAGGAGTCTCAAGGAGAAGGGAGTGACCAACTGCCCAATACAGCTGACGACCATATCAGACAAGACTGAGAACTGGCCACAGGATTTGGCAACATGGCAAGAGCTATATGAATGGACTGGTGAGCACATAAGAGGAGAGGAAGTGGAAGCTTCAGGATTAGACAGGGGGCCAGGCACAGTATCCCATGCCAATCCCAGCACTTTGGGAGGCCGAGACAGAAGGATCACTTGAGGCCAGGAGTTCAAGACCAGCCTGGGCAACAGAGAGAGACCTCATCTCTACAAAAAAGGAAAAAAAAAAGGAAAACCAGCCTGGACAACATAGGGAGACCCAGTCTCTATCAAAAAAAGAAAAAAAAAAGACTTAATTTTTTAATTAGCTGGACATGGTGGTATGCACCTGTGGTGCTAGCTATTCAAGAGGCTGAGGTGAGATGATCACTTGAGCCCAGGAGTTCGAGTTGCAGTGAGCTATGTTCATGCCACTGCATTCCAGCCTGGGTGACAGAGCAAGACCCTGTCTCTAAAAGAACAAAAAAAAAAAAAAGAGAGAGAGAGAAAGAGGCTAGACAAGTCTCTGGAGGAGTTTTGTGCAAAAAGGAGCAGAGAACACTGATGGTGTGAGAGTGATGTTCTTCAGGAGATGACAGTGAATGGGATCTGGGGACAATGGAGGTCTTTGGGGCTGTTAGCTTGTTTGTTCTTCTCTGGCCATTCCAGCACTCAGGGTCACCTTCCCCTCCAGGCCCCTCCACTCCAGTGACTCCTTTGGTGACTTATCCACTCATGCATTCTGAGTCTTTCCTGTATCACCTCCTGACCCCTCCAGTGGCTCAGTCACTATCTAGCTGTGTGACCTTGGATGAGTCACTTAACCTCACAAGAAGCAGCAATCAGTGAGTCCGGTGACTTCAGTTTCTTCCAGTATCAGGGTGGACAGAGAGTCACAGTGGTAGGACCTGGGGGTGTTTCTCTAAGGTATGTGGAAATTTAGGCTCCCCTTTGATCTCAGATTCATGGAGAACCCAGAACTGGTTATTAGAAAACTCTTGCGGAGTGAATAGGTAAGCTTCTTTCATATTAATTCTTCACTTGGCAAATGCTTAAGTGCCTGCTCTATCCAAGGGTGTGTCAGAGGTTTTGCAAGGGTGGAGGATGAGCCTCTTGGATTTTACCCTCAAAGAGCTCATAACCTTGTGGGGTGGTGGGTGTGTCTATTCAAAACCATAACAGGGCAGACTCTCTGGCACATCATTTTGTGTTCATCTTTAGGACCAGTTGTCACAGTTGCACACACAAATTAAAGTTCCACAGGAGGTGGGATGTTTTCGGTCTTGTACTCTATGTGCCTGACACATCGTAAGCAGTCAGTACATGTTTGTTGAATGAAAGCAGTATTGAATGGTACCATTTAATTTGTGTTTTGAAGCAAGGGTGGGATTTGGACCTACACAGATGGGCGAGGGGGCGCATTGCAGACTGGCGGGGGTTGGGGTGGCTGGAGGCAGGAGGAGGGAATGGCGGGAGCAGATGTACAGAGACAGTGACACCCAAGGCATGGTTGGTAATTGCAGGCCGACTGTGACTGGATCGTGTGATATGTCAGGATGCAAAGAGACTGAAAAAGTAAGTTGGGGCCAGATGGTGGAGAGGGTTGAATTCAAGCTATGTTAAAGGGATCAGATTTATCTATAGTAGGATGATCTCATGTTCCCATTTCCCAGGGTAGTTTTGCCTGTTGTCCCAGGGTGATTATTCATGGTGGCCCCTTTCATGCTCAAGTATCCCTGTTTGGATAAGTTATGTGGTCCTGCAACCCTAAAGGCTTTGTGGAACCCCCAAAGGTTTCACAGAGGGACAGGGTCAGGCTAGCCTTGAATGGTCAGTGCCCACAGTGTTTGCTGGACCTGGAGGCAGGAGCTGGGACACCCTCCAGTCTGGGCGATACAGGTCAAAGTCTTTTGGTTAATGGTAAATCACCAACAGTGGCCAGGGTACGGTGAAATGGGCACTCTTCAGGGAGTGCCCTGAAATTGTTCCAGACCTTTTTTGGAAATCAACTTTGCAGCACACGTCAAGAGCCTTGAAAACTGTCCATGCCCTTTGTTAATTCCACTTCTGGAAATCTCTCCTAAGGAAATAATTCCAAATATAGAAAAGGTTCTTTGCATAG
Source organism: Homo sapiens (assembly GCF_000001405.40). NCBI lineage: Eukaryota > Metazoa > Chordata > Mammalia > Primates > Hominidae > Homo > Homo sapiens. Next base: position 47,927,124 of record NC_000010.11, on the reverse strand, counting down.
ACGTTCATCATAAAACTCTATGCAACAGGTCTAGAGACAGCTCAGAATGCCACAACAGATGATATTAAGGACATAGGATATATCTATCAATGGACTCTAAGTTCCATAGAACAGGGACAATGTCTGATTACAACCACTGTATCCCCACAGCTAACATAGTGTCTGACATATTTAATGAATAAACAAGTGAATAAAAATTTATATCAGGTTAAACAAAAAAGATATAAAACAATCCTTAAATATGATATATAAGTTCCCATGTGGACACACTATGCTCTCAACCATTTTTTTAAAAAACAGACATATGTATATGACTATGCATATGAAAACTTTTAAAATGACTCCCCAAAATGTAAACAGTGATTATGTCTGAGTGGTGGAACTCCTGATAATTTCCTTTTTTCAATTTTATTTTTGTATATATTGTATATCTTTCAGAATGAATATGATTACTTTTATAATGGAAAAAAAAAGGCCACATCAATACTTTAAAAAAGAAAGGCTAGCATTAGGCAGGGTTTTAGCACTCACAGCCAGGACGTGATAAAGTTTTGCATCTTCCAAGGGTTCCCAGTCAGTCTTTGTGGTATGAGTCTCCAATTCCAGCCATGATCCTCCTCTGTAAGGTGGGTACCTCTCACAATGGGTGGCAGAGGGTCCACTTGCTGGCTAGAGATGCCCTCCCACCCCCCCCACCACCCCCAGGAGCTAGAGATACTGAGGGGTACTGGCTTTCACTGGGACAGTTCGTACACTTGTAAGCGGCCATCAAAAATGATATCTAGGCTGGGCACGGTGGCTCATGCCTGTAATCCCAGCACTTTGGAAGTCAGAGCAGAGCGGATCACCTGAGGTCAGGAGTTCGAGACCAGCCTGGCCAACATAGTGAAACCCCATCTCTACTAAAAATACAAAAAAAAAAAAAAAATAGCTGGGTGTGGTGGCAAGCACCTGTAATCCCAGTTACACAGGAGGCTGAGGCAGGAGAATTGCTTGAATCCAGGAGGCAGAAGCTGCAGTGAGCCAAGATCGTGCCATTGCACTCCAGCCTGGGCAGCATGAGTGAAACTCCTTCTCAAAAAAAAAAAAAAAAAAAAGATATCCAGCAAGATGAAAAACTGTTGATGATACAGTTTTAAGTGAAATAGAGCAGAATACAAAAAGCCATGTTCACTAAGAACATATCTATGCAAACTATGCACATGGCAAATATTTATCAAAAGAATGAAAAAGCCTCACAAAAAATATGACCACATGCAGCCAGAGATGAGACAGACAACCAAAACTGAATGCACCTTTTCAGCAATAACAATTTTAGAGACGTTCCCAGAACTAGGATGGGTGTCTACAGGTGCTTACCCAGTGTCTCTAGGCTCCAGGGCAACCTGTTTCTTAGAGCAGAGCTTCTCAAACTTTAATGTGCACACAATTAACCTGGGATCCTGATAAAACATGGATTTGGATTCAATCGAGCTGGGCTGGCAACAAGGACTGAATATCTACAAACTCCAGGTGATGCTGGGGCACAGAACACACTCAACGAGGCTTCTACCCACTACCCCAATTCTTAGCACCAAACACTTTCCCCAGAGGCCTAGCCTGGCCCTCCGTCCTCAAGCATGTCTGCACCTGAAATCATCTTTGTCCCCAGCATCTTGGCACCATCGAGACTAATAATGAGAAGCAACTCCAGGCACTTGCGTGGGATCCAGGGGGGCCTGAGGCCCCCAATTCCTTGGGAAGCTTGAACAATGACATCTTTCTGGGGTGATGGGAAGACAAAAGTGACTCCATCTTGGATGCTAATTTGCCCATGTTGACTTCTGATTAGCCCCAGTCCCATGAATGCCTCCTGACTCCTACTTTATTTACTGTCCCGAGTGTAAGAATATGTACTCCTGCTTTTAGATCAAAGCAAGCTTGATGTTATCATGCAAATTCTGGGCTATGATGCACATGGCGTTCTTGCCTGCTCTGGCACACTACCTTTCACTGTCTTGCTGGAGCATGTATATCCTTTTCCCTTGGTATATAAGCCTTGGGTCCGAGAGTAACAGTGCAGAGATCTGCCTGTCTTGTGGCCACCCGAGACCACCCGCCTGCTTAAAAGTTCCCTCAATAAATCACTCAATACCAACAAACTGGATTTGTCTGCTTCCTTCTTTGGTCTCTTGGCTCCTTTGGCATTTGGGGGTTGCTTTGTGCATGTGGGCTTTTCACAAAATAGATGGGTCCCGGAGCCTGGGCTTCGCTGGCAGGTGGTCACCTGGAGCAGCCAGCAGCAGATGGCACCACAGGACAAGCACAAGCTGTGTCCAAGAGAGTGGCTCAAGAAATCTGCCCAAAATCCAACACAAAAATGAACAAAGGAACTGAATGGGAGATGTGACCAAAAGAAGCGATAAGACAAACAGCTCCAGGAAGGGAGCTGCTGGCTCAAAGAGCACTTGTCTTGGGCGTCAGTTCCACCGGTTCTTGGTCAGGGGTGAGAGCCCTATGCCAGACCCCCTTTGCAGAACCTATGCTGGCTTATGATGAGGCTCTTCCAGGGCTCCAGCACATGAACACCCTGCCCTGGGAGGCTATAGTAGGCCAGCCACTGTCCACTCTGCTGGAGGGTCAGTCTGAGCCAACAGAACCATGCGGAGACATCCCATCCAATGCAGCCCAGGAGCAGTCTTGACATTTCTTTCCCTGCAAGGACAGGCTGTCTGGTCCACACATAGATGAAGCCTTGGGCCTGGTTCAGCATCCAGAGGACTAGGCCATAACCCCCAAGGTAAGATATTCACACTCATTGGAGCCCTTTCTCCTTTTTCCCTGGATGGCTGGAGGAAGGGGACCCCTGCTTTTTTCAGCCAGTGCCCCATGAAGTTAGACTCCCAGGACTCCCTGCCCCTGATCCTACTTAAGGCCACTGGGATGCCCAATACCCTGAGGAAGCTTTGAAAGATACGTGGCACATTATCTGGGGCAAGTCAGCTCAGTGGTCAGAGCACAGAGTGAAGGAGGCTGCAGCCATAGCCTTGAGTTCTGGAGGCCTCTGTAGTGGGTCAACAGTGGGGAGAGCCACAGAGTCTCGGTCCAGCTACTGTATCAAATGAGGTCCTGGGAGGCAAGGAAGGGCAGGCAGGAGACTATGGCTGCAGGAGCCTGAGCCCTGGCCCCCTTCCCATGCTGGACTCCTGTCCAGCACCAAACATTCAGCAGTGAGTGGCACCTTTACCATCAACCCACCATGGAAAACTTCCCTGGAGCTCTCTCCTTGTGCCAGGGCCTGCCCATGGCATGTAAGACACAAGCCCCATGATGGTATGGATTTCACCTGCAAGGCGCTTGCCATCTCATCGAGGAGAGGAACTTGCAGGCTGATTTCCATGTAAGGTGGAAGACACAGTGATAGAGAAAAGGGATGGAGTAGGAAATGAGTCCTGGAATTCCTGCTTCAGAGGGCTGTAAGCCAAGACTACTGCATCTATTGTCTTCAGCTGGATGCGCTAATGATCTAACAGTAATCCCACTGCTTTGCATCCACAGAATTCTTTACTTCTGAAGCACCTCCACACACCATCTCTCACAGAGGTGAAGAGTTGACCAAGGTCTAGAGCTCTGACTCCAAGCGCTCCTTCCCTCACCCCACAGTGGCCCCGTGGTCTCACTGGTGGAGGTGAAATCCCTGGGTTCCCAGGCCAGGCATCTGTTGCTGTGTCACCAGAATGAACCCTGCCTGCTGCCAGCAGACATCTCCGGCTCTGGCATCTTTCAGCTCAAGCTGCAAGGCTTACTGTGACCTCTGGAATCTGTGCTCAGAATTCTCCCAGGAACAAACAGCTGAAGTATCAAAATGCCAGTCTTCACGATGCAAATGGATGCAAAAACAGCTCTTGCCAGCCTATCTGGACCCCAGAAAGCCAGGAATGCTGGGGTGCCACCCCAGCTTGCAGTGTGCCCACTTAGCTAAGTGGAAGAGCCTGGCAAGGGACATGGCAGGGAGAAGACCTAGACCTGGTTAAATGGGATTGGACCTGCCACTTAGCCTCAGGGACCCTTTGGAGACTTCCGTATGTACTGTGGACAGGGGCAGATGCTCTGACTCCTCCAGGGGGGCGCTCTGCTGGCAAGTCAGCACCAGGGCCTTGATCTCCTTCTTGAAGTTGGTGTTGAGAAAGCCATAGATGAATGGGTTGACACAGGTGGAGGCCATGGCAAGCAAGTGGCACACTAAGAAGATGAGGTTCCCATGGCAGATGGGGATGGCCTCATGGTGCCAGTCTTCCAGGCTGTTGAACACATGCAGAGGCAGCCAGAGCACGGCAAAGGCCACCACCATCACCACCAGCACCACATTGACCTGCTTCATGTGCCCAGCTCGCAAGCTGTAGGTGCCCTTGTGAAACACGCGCCCCTGCCTCTGCAGGCGCCGGTAGATGCGTGCATAACAGACCAAGATGAAGCCCAGTGGGAGGCAGTACTGGAAGAGGAGCAGGAAGGTGGTGTAGATGGTGCGGTGGTGAGCCAGTGGCCAGGACTCGGTACAGACCACCTTATCCGCCAGGAACTCCAGAGCCTTGGAGTGGTTCTTGTGGAAGACATTCTCCAGGATGCTGTTGGCCAGGAAGGGCAGGGAGAGGACACAGGCAATGACCCAGATGAGCACAATCCCCAGGTAGGCCTGTGAGATGCTGGGCTTCCAGCCTGTTGGGTTGATGATGAGCTGATGCCTCTCCAGGGCCACGAGGACGAGCGAGAGGATGGAGACCGTCACCGACATGCACTGGATGAAGGCCGACATCTTGCAGAGGGTCTCTCCAAAGATCCAGTAGTCCATGATGGTGTAGACGGCGGTCAGCGGCTGGCAGAGGAGGCACATGAGGAAGTCAGAGAAGGCCAGGTTGGCGATAAGCAGGTTGGTCACGTTGGCTTTCTCCTTCTGCCTCACAGTTACACACATCAGGCAGAGGTTACCCAGGACCCCCACGACAGTCTCAATGCTGTAGGAAGTGACAATGAAGACCATCACGTCCACGGAATCCTGGCAATGTTCAGAGAAGTTGTATGGGGTGCCCAGGGGTTTGCTTCTGTTTTCACCTTGTGGAGATTTTGGGAGCAGCAAGGCCAGGAGGTGAGAGGTGTTCATAGTGGATGTGAAAAGATTCCAGGACTCTTGAACTAAGTGATACACTTGAGGGATGACGCCTACAAGGCAAACAGACAAACAATACTCAGGGATCATGCCCAGGGTAGAATCCAGAGAGGAGCAGGGCCGGGTAGAAAGGCTCTCAGCTGCTTCCAACCCAAGGCTGGTATCTGGAGGGGCTATTACCTAAGGCTCATGGTGAGACATTGGCATCCAATGATTGCTACCTTGTTAGAAGCACTTGTTGCATGCTGGGTACTGTGCTCAGCACTTTCGTCTATTAGCTAGTTTATTCCTAGAGGTAGATATTATCAATCCGTTTCATAGATGAGGAATCTAAGACCCTGAGATGGAAAGCAACTTGCCCATAGTCACACAGCTAATTAGTAACAGGGCCCAGTTACAAACTCAGGTCATCTAATGCCAGAACTTGTTCTACTAATTCCCTCCGGCCTCAGGATGAGGCTGTTCTGATGATAAAGAAGTTGGAGTGCTGTATGCAGACTTTAGTGACGGAATTGTTCAGGGAACATGGGTAGAATGCCCCTTGTCACATTTTATCTGAATGGAGACAGCAATAAATGCCACTCTGCACAGGATTGCTTGTGTCCTTCCACGGCACCCCATTCCCTTCAAGATAGAGCTAAAGCCTCGGGGATCCACAATCAGTGCACCCTCCTGGTCTCAGCCCCTCCCTGCCCTGGTAGCCTTGTTTTTTAGGTGATACCTGGCAAAACTGAAGACTGCCCAGTATGCAAAGCCTGGCTCATCAGCACACCAGCTTCTTCCTACTACCCACCATGTGCACAGACATACCTGGCCAAAGTCACAGGTGCCCAGTGCCCTCCACAGAACCTACTCCATGACTATGTTCAAGTCACTTGATGCAGTGTGCAGCTCACAAGCACACCAGACTCTTCCACATCTCTATGCCCTGGTACAGGCTGTCCCTTCTCCGAGGACCTCCTCAGCACAACGGACCCCCTGCCAAGACTGAGTTGGAATTTAGACTCCAGAGTTCCCCCGTGTTAGTGCCAATGATGGATGTTTTGCATGGGAAGCACCATACCACTACATACATCATTGTGACTCACCTCTCAGATTCTCTAGTCATTATTAATCCCACAGGGTTGCAGTTCTCAACCTTCAGTAAACATCAGAATCATTCTAGAAGCATGTTGAAAGTGCACATCCCAGGGCCCTTCCACCAGGAGATGTAGTTAAGTGAATCCAGGATGGGGGCCAGGAATCTGTATTTAACAAGTAGACTATGTGATTCTGATGCACATGGCCCTTGGACCCCATCTTGTAAAACACTGTAGCAGAAAACCCTATTCGAGATATTCTTTAAGTCTCATATCATGGCCATATGTATTTTTTACATGATCAATTGCTATGTTAAGGCAGTTTTTGCAGAGCACAAGGCCAAAATCAACCAGAGCTCAGTAAAATCTATTTGTCGGCTGTCATGAATGTCACTTGCTGTGCATCTGATCTACTTATAAAGATGAGTTTCTAAGGTCAGGACTTCAACACCTGCCTGGCCAACATGGTGAAACCCCGTCTCTGCTGAAAATACAAAAATTAGCCAAGTGTGGTGGTGCATGCCTGTAGTCCCAGCTACATGGGAGGGTGAAGCAGGAGAATCACTTGAACCTGGGAGGCGGAGGTTGCAGTCAGCAGAGAGTGCACCACTGCACTCCAGCCTGGGCAACAGAGCGAGACTCTGTCTCAAAAAAAAAAAAAAAAAGAGTCTCATTTGGTCATTTAAAAGATCAAGCTGTGAATTCACCTGATAGTTTACAGTCTGGTTATTTAGGAACCAGATCTCGAAGGCAGGAAGATTTCTCCAGCACTATGGTCTTCGGGCAAAAAGGGCCATTTGGGGCTGAACATGGCAAAATAAACTATTCCAGAGCCAAACACAGGGCCCAATATAAGATAAAGAACAGTCGCAGCTGCATGAACCTGTGGCAGAGGCACTGCACTCAGAAGCAGCAAATGGGCCAGAACCCAAGGCTCTGGGTGACCATCAGCAAGGCTTGGCCAGTGGTGTGGAGAAACACCATTCATCCCAAACCAACCACCTAAAGCAGGATCAGAGTGGAAGGACTGGGCTGGGAGGGCTCCAGAAAATGCTCACTGCTTCATTCACCCACTCAATAAGTGTGTGTCAAGCCCTGGGCTAGAAACAAGGGCTGCAAAGATGACTTATACAGTCATGGCCCTCCCAGAGCAGAGGGGCTGACCAGCACGAATGCAGATGGAACTCATTGCCATTGCCAACACCAATATGAAAGAGAGGCCTGTGAGTTGAGAGATCAGAGAAGGAGCAGGGAGCAGGGAGGTGAGAGAAGAGGTGGCAATGGTACAGGGCTCAAAGGCTGAAGAGGAGTCAACCAGCCAAAGGGACAGGGAGAGGAGGGAACTCGAAGTGCAAGGAACAGCATGTGCAAAGGCACAGAGGCAGGAAGGAGCAGAGCCTGCTGGGAAAAGTAAGCAGAATAAGAGGTTCCAGGGTGGCAGATGATGAAGCTGGAGTGGTGGGCCAGACCAGCAAGGTCAGGTCCATTCCAGTAAGATCACTTGGATATAGAAAATGGATTGGCAGAGAGGGCCAAGACAGGAGGAGGAGGAGCACTGAAAAGGTGGTGTTGGGCATCTGCCTGGGGCTGCTGGGCTTGGGGTACACTGACCAGTGAGGACCAGGGGACCTCAAGTCCCTCAGGCACACCCAAGGGGGTGGCGAGTGTATGAGGGGGAGGGTAGATTATTACGCAAGGTCAATAAAATGGTGTCTCTGCATTTTGTCCCCAGGCAGCTCTCCAGATACAAAAACTAGAACCAGCTGCAAGCCCCAACAGGGACCCCCTGCAGCCTGCCTTCCCAGTCAATCAGAGGAAAATTAATGAATCATACACACAATGCTAATCTCCCAGTGGGGTTAGAATAGGGAAGGCCCTTTGCTTTGTCTCCTGAAATCTCAGCAAAAGCTACTATATCCTAATGCCCATAGCGCCCAGACACCTCAGATGCACCCCTTACCTCCTTGGCTTGCGGCTTACAGGGTGCGGATGGGGCCGCCCATGTCTCAGGTGAGGAGACTGAGGTCCACAGTGGGGGTAGGATGCTCCCCAGATCCAGTGTGACGCTCTGCGCCCCGGGCCAAGGGCAGGCAGCGCGCCCGGCTTCCCGGAGGGTTCGTACCGGGGCCCACTCGGCCCCGCCCCCGGCCGCACTCCTGTGCCCAGGGGGCACCAGGCGCGGGGCAGAGCCGCGCCTGCTTCACCTGCTCCTGCTGCCCCGATGCTGCCTGCGTGCAGAGTGGAGCGGCTGCTACGCTCCCGCCTGCGCCCGCCCAGCCTGCCCCTTGCGCCCGCCCACGAGAGGGCTCCAGCCGCCCGCCTGCCCCGGGACCCCAGCACTCGCCCTGGGGAGCCGCATCTTGAGCCCCCAAGGCCTGCCCGGAACTGCAGCCCTGCCTGCGTGTGTCTCTCACGCCCACCTCAACCCTGGATACAGGCAGGCTGGAGCTGCGCTGTCTTTCTCTCTCTCTTTCTTTCTTTCTTTCTTTCTTTCTTTCTTTCTTTCTTTCTTTCTTTCTCTCTCTCTCTCTCTCTCTCTCTCTCTCCCTCCCTCCCCCTCCCTCTCTCCCTCCCTTTCTCTTTCTCCAGGAGTGTTTCTCTCTGTCTAGGGGTGTGTGCGTCTGCCTGTCTCTCTCTCTCTCTGCCTCAGTTTCCTCATCCATGAAATGGGTATAAAAAGACCTGCCTTTCATAAGTTCGTCCAGAAACATTACTTGCAGACCTCCTATGAGCCTGGCTCTCCTGCTGGGCACCAGAGCTGGACAAGACAGGCTCCCTGTCCTTGGTTCCTTCTGGAGCTCTCAGCCCTGGGGGAGAAGACAGACAGGGTACAAGGAAAGAGGGAAATAAATTATTACAGGGGGTGAGATGCTGTGAGCAAATGGGTTCGATAGGCCAGATGGATGGCACAGCCACGGCAAAAGCCCTGAGGCTGGGAGCATTCAGCCCCTGGAGACCAGGGGAGGGCAGTGTGGCTGAGAATGTCAGCCAGGGTGAGGGAAGGAGATGGGCATCCAGGGTGTGAGTGAAAACTCAGGGTGGGCCCTGGAAGTGGAGTGTCTTATCTCAGGCAGTCCCAAGGTTGTGGCGATGAGAATTCAATGAGAATGGTCACTTTCTCCTTTGGAGCTGAGATGCACATGACTTGGCTATAATGGAACAGCTTTGCTTACAAGGGCTGCTCCTGTTTTGAATACACTAGCTTATAATTCCCTGCCCCCCATCCCCACATGGCAAAGTCACATATGCGCTTAGAGAACCTCCTGAGAGTAACAGATCTGCTTCAAGAGCACCTCCTAAACACTGGACATACACACCTGTCCAGTGAACCTCCTGTGGCTCCCCATGGAAATGTCCCCATGAAGTCATGGCAGTGGTCCCTCTAGAATGGCAGCTGCCGTTTGTAGTGCAGAGACTCTGCAGACACTACCTTAGTTAATCATCACAACAGCTCTGAGAGGTGGGCATTTTTATTCCCATCGTGCTGATGAAGCAAAGTGACACTCAGTGGTTGAGCAACTTGCCCAAAGTCACTCAGCTAAGAAACAGCCAGATCCAGGATGCGAACCCACCTGCCAAGCCCCCAGGCCTCTGCTCACCATCGCTGTAGACTGGCACCTGTCATCTCTTCTTTCTGGACCATGCTCCTTCCTGTCTTGACTACCTGGAAAGCGGCTGCTCCTCCGTTGCACCCCAGCTCCGATGTCCCTGCTGCCATGACAAATTCCTACCACCCTCCCATGCTCTGCTGCAGAGGCAGATGTAGCAGCCTAGTTGGTTGTCTGCCTGAGCAGCTTTGTCTCCCCACTCCCCTATGTCTAGGTCACAGCTCTTGTCTCCGCCTCCAGATCCCAGCACAAGTCCACACACAGCATCTGACAAAGAAAGAAAGGAAGAAAGGAAGACGGAGGGAGGGAGGACATTTAAGAAGACCTGATTGTAACGGTAGCTTCCAGACATGTAAAATCAGAGAACATTGCTTGACCAGAAACTGCTCAACTCCAGCTGGGAGCTCTATGGACACCCGTCCTCTGTGCAGGCAAGAACGCAGCCACTGTCACCTCCTTCTTGCAGGGCAGCTGTGTGGGGTCTGGATTTGCTGGTAAGCCCTTGGAGGCAAGCTTCCACATAGACACATTTGAGAACTACTGCGCAAGGCACGCAGCCTGAACCCTAGCTCTTGTGGGTCAGAGAACAGCAGAAGAGCTGAAATGGTGGTAAAAGCAGCAAACAGCTCCCTTGCCAGGCAGAAGCATGTGAACCTGCCCTTAGTCCATCCTCATGCCTAACTGGTGTGGTATGATCATCCCATCTCACAGGCGAGAAAACTGAGCCTCAAAGAAGTAGAGTGTCTTGTCTCAGCCAGCCAACTTGTAGATGGTAGGGCTGGACTTTCAATCCAAAGTCCAAGCTCTTCCTTCAGGACCATAATGCCCAGGAGAGGGGTAGGTAGCTCTTCCTAGCAGACATTTCAGGTTAAACCAATACTCCCAGAGTTGGCTGCCAGACCCTTTGCCTCTGCTAGGGAAAGGAGACAGCACCCTCTGGAGGCAGCAGAGCCCTGCACCAATCATAGCCAGAGCACTTGAAGTTCCTCAAGAAAGCAGTCTGTAAGAAAGAACTGGGAGCTGCTGTTCTTCCCCCTTGCTGGAGTCCAGGGTCCGGAGCACAGCCTGAGAGGCTCTGCCAGTCAGCCAGGCTGCATTCTGCCATCTCTGGGGAAGGGGCTAGGTAGGATTTTCCTTCTGCCATAAAAGTGGCTGGCTGGTGTGACCTGCTGGAGACTGCTTCTCCTAAATAGCTTAGTGACAGGTTCCCTTCCCACCCCATCAGGAATGTTCCTCATGAATCACCCGGAAGTCAGACAGGCGCACAACTCCCTCAGGTGTGTGCAGCGCTCCACATTACCTCTCTGAACCTCAGTCCACTGCATGCTCAGTATTCCCCCTGGTCCTATGAGGAAGCTGAAGATCAGCTAGTCAGGGGATGGATAGACCCCAGGCACCCTCCTTACTGTAAATTTGCTGGGATTTGGAATCAGGCCCATTCACAGTTGCTTACACCACATTGAGAGTCAGTGTGGTGACTGGTCACAAGCCGGGCACAGAAGCCGTCTCGCATTGCCCCAGATTCTCATCTGCAAAGCGGAGCTAATAACAAAGTTTGCCTCGGGAGATGTTGTGGCAAGAAATGAGTTGAGATGAGAATGGCTCTCCACACAGTTATGGGCAAGAAACACCCTGCAGAGCTGTGGCTATAAGCATTCCTGTGTCCTGCATGCTTGCCCACCTCCCTGAGCCTCTGCCCCAGAGCTAATGGGCTGTCCCGACCAATTCTAGCTGGAAACCTCTCCAAACCCTCATCACGACCCACACATCTCACCTGGACAGTCCTAAGAGGCCCTGCAAGCTCAGCCATGGTGAGCACCTCCTAGACACTGGACAGACATACACAACTCTCCAGTGAAACCTCCTGTGGCTCCCCTTGGAAATGTCCCCATGGAGTCATGGCAGTGGTCCCTCTAGGATGGGTCCCTCTGAAATCAGTCTGACTCTCTTCCTCTTTCAGGCCTTCTAGTGCTGCCTCCCCCAGACTCATTCTGCATGTAAACTCTCCATTTTCAGGGAGTATGGTTGAGTTTCTCAGATCCAGGCTTGTGTAGATGTTGCTTCCACGGCCTGAACTCATCAAGCTCTCCATTCTCAGAGACCCATCCCACACACACAGCTCCCTGAGAAATGTCCTTGGCCATCCCTGCCCGCAACCTGTGCATTCTGAAGGGCAGCTGCCAAGCATGGTCCACTCACATATAGCTAGCTCCCGGAAGCTGTCCTACTTTTTTCATGGAAGGCTATAGCAGAGGGAAGCCACATCAGCTATCCGGGGAAACCAGTTTATTTTCCAGTACTTATAACAGAGAACCAAAGATCCTCACACATTTAGGAAATCAACAGCACAAAGGAGATAGGTCAAGATGAATAAACAAAATAACTGACCCCAAAAGAAGCTGAAATAACTTAGGGAATAGAAAATAACTTTAAGAGACCAAAACTTCCTTTAATGCCTAAATTAGAGAAATTACTGAATCCATATAACAAGAGCAGATTGCCATGAAATAAGACAGACTAAGAAAGCAAGAAAGAATCCTTGAAAACTAAGCATGACTACTGAAATTTGAAAACACATCATTAGAAGGGATGGGAGAACCAGCTTAGGAAATATCCCATAATGTAGAGCAAAAACACAGAAAGATGGAAAACTTCAGAGCTAAAATAAGAGACATGGATGATTAACACTAATGACCCATCATCCAATTACTAAAATTTCCAGGAAGGAAAAATCAAGACAATGAAAGGCAGCATATCAGTCATAGTCTGCACAGGACACATAATTCACCCCCAGATTGTCAAACAAAGGGATTTTAATAAAAAGGTAACTTACAGAGGTGTGGGAAGCATTAAAGGAAAGAAACAAGAAATGGTGAGGCACCCAGAGACTGGCAGAAGACAGAAGCAATCACCACCCTACAGTTAAAAGAACAAAAGGAGAAAACCACATTACCACAGCCAGAGGACTGCAGAGGAAGGGCCCCCAGTGGGAGCTTCTGTAGTGTGGAGGCATGCCACCGCCTCCAGACAGCATGGAAGCAAGGGGAAGTAGAAAAGAATTCTACCAACCTCTCTCTCCTTCCACTTCCAGTCTCCTGTCAGTCCCTCCCATTGACCAAACCCAACTGGAGCCCTGCCAGCAAAGGAGCCATCAGCTTCCCCTGGCACAGGGAAGAGCAGAGAACCACAGTAGAGAATGCATCTGGGTGGGGTGTGAGCAAAATAGTCGACACATAGAATCATCAATAGCAAGAGTATTCCAGAGCTACAGATTAAAAGGAAGCCCGAGGAACTGCTCCACACCTAGACAGGTACTGCAAAATTTCAAAACACCAAAAAAAAAAAAAAAAAAAAAAAAAAAGAAGATTCTAAAATGTTCCATGGGTGGGAGCAGGAAGAGAAAGGTTGCCTACAAAGGAAAGGAGAGACAGAGACCATTCTCAGTCTTGTCAACAACATAGGATGATGGAAGACTCTGAAAAGATGGAGCTATATTTTTAGGACTCCTGGAAATATATTTTGAACCTAAAACGCTCATCTCAGCGATAATATCAAGTGTAAAGGTAGAATAAGGATATTTCTAAACTTGCAAGCTTACATTTCCTGAATCCTTTCTGAGAGAGTTCATTAAGGAAGTGTATTAGTCCATTTTCACACTGCTATAAAGAACTACCTAAGACTGGGTGATTTATAAACAAAACAGCTTTAATTGACTCGCAGTTCCACATGGCTGGGGAGGCCTCAGAAAACTTACAACCATGGCAGAGGGGGAAGCAAGGTACATCTTACATGGCGGCAGGAGAGAGGCTAGGGACTCCCAAACACTTTTAAACCATCAGATCTCGTGGAAACTTACCATCATGAGAACAGCATGAGGTAAACTGCCCCCATAATCCGATTACCTCCCACCAGGTACCTCCCTCGGCATGTGGAGATGACAATTAGAGATGAGATTTGGGTGGGGACACAGAGCCAAACCATATTAGAAGGTACTCCAGCACAACTGGTATAAAATCAAGCAAGGAGAGATGAGGTCAAAGAAATGGTTGAACAGGCCCAGGAGCCTGGGATTTTCTTTCCCTACGCAAATAGTAAACCTGCATTACTGTATTTCTAGGGGAATTACAGGGATCGATGCCATGATTAAAGACATGAAAGATGCAGGGACAGGGAGGCCTGTCACATTTCTGCCCACTTGGCTCACCTCTTTAGCTCTTTAGCCTGTGCAGGAAGTTGCTGAATCTTGGAGAATGACTGTATGTCGTCGTAAATTTAATCAGGCAGTAACTCCAATTTTAGCTGCTTTTCTAAATGCAACATAGAACAACTTAACCACTCTCAGCACTTAGTATGTAGCTATTGACTCAGCTTGTGTTTTCTCCCCATCTGTATCGGTAAGAACCAGCAGAAGTTTGCTTTCACCTGGCAAGGATAGAAGTACAAAGTCAGTGTCTTCTCCCAGATCATGTTCGTTTTCCAGCTTTCTGTTATAGTGTGGTCTACAGAGACCTTGATCTTCTGAACATCCCACAGATCCACAGATGGTATGCTGGTGCACTACACTGGTAGCACATGCTGATTGAACTGATGAGCAGGGAGAATAAACCAGATGCCTTCATAAGATGCATGCAGCACATGGGCATGGGTGGGACAGTAGCCATCATAGCCCGGGTAGTCTAAGCTAAGCACACGGGATATGTACCAGATGGCACCCATCTGGCGTGGGGGAGCCTGGCATGGCATGTCAGAGCCAGAATAGGACAAAGAGTGGCCATGCAGGGAGGCAGGGGCACGGTGGCCTAGCACAGGGTGTTAGAGTCCAAGTACTGTCAAATGAAAGTCCACATGGCAGAAGGGGACAACCAAGTGTGGATGCCAGAGCCACACAGAATGAGTGGAGGGGCAGAGTTCTGCTATGGAAGATTGGGTATATGCAGGGGGACCAACTGAGCAAAGTTGGGAGCCAGTTTTCTCACTCATGGAGAAGGCAGTCATGAATATGGAAGGAGGGAAACCCAGAATAAGCCCTGTGGTTTTGATTAGAATTGAAAGTATTGAAGTGAGCTCATGGTTTTCTATATAGAGAGATAAATATTGATCTAATAGTGTGTGTGCATATATATCCTTGCTCTGTCCACTGAGAGAGTCTAGGAGCAGTGATACCCCAATAGCAATGAACACTCCTAGCACCCATATATTGACTTCTAAATGCCATTCTCCATTAAAAGAATCCAAGTCTCCTTCGGAAAATGGCTGATTCCAGGGCAAGGGCTGGGAAAGCCCAAGATAAACCTGAAAGATCTTGGGAGCTAGAAAGTAATGAAGTACTCTAAGAATGAAGGGTGCAGGCCAGAAAAGCCCAGAACCTGGCTTGAAGGGGCCCTTGATGGCCAAATCTTCGACCATGTGAGCATCAAAGTAAATAATAATGATGATGGATAATAACCTACTGAATAAAATAAAAATCTGAGTCCATTTCAATATAACTAAATGATGGAGTAAAGTGACAGTTTGATGAGGAATGGAATATATTCATGGTTTCAGTGTGCCTCATCACAAAATATTTGTTTATTACAAAGAGAAGAGTCACCTTACAGTGGAGAAGGCTGGCAGTCACCTCTGTAATCAAATGATCATAGCGAACACCATCTCTAATCCTAGAGTGAAATTACTCACCGCATGACAGGATGCAAGGAAAACGTAGCACAGCTTCTGTGATCTTCCTGCTGAAGGTGCATGCAAGTGAATCCAACCCTGAAGAAGCATCAGCCTCAACCCAGGTGAGGGACATACTACAGAATAACTGGCCTGTCATCTGGAAACATAAGGCCATGGAAGTCAAGGAAAGAAGGGAGAACCATTCCAGATTGAAGGAGACCAGAGACAGGAGAATGAAACCTGTGTATCTTGGGACAGCTGATGAAACTTTAGTGGAGCCTGCAGATGAGGCGGTAGCAAGGTGTTCATGCAAATTGCCGGGATCATGCTCTCAAATGGCATAGAAAAATTAATGTTCTTTATCCTCACTTTCAACTTTTCTATAAGTTTAAGATGATTTAAATTATATTTTTAAAGGTGTCAAAAATTTTCTTCATCTTTATAGAATGAAACAGAAATAAAAATTGAAAGTGGTAACCTCTGGAAATAGAACTGGGGGAAAGAAGGAAAGAATATCAACGGGAGTTATCTGACCCATAGGATTTTAGGTCATTTTTTGCTTTGTTTCCTTTTCTAAATTTCTCTCTATTAAAAAAGAATGAATGATTACAACTTTATAAAGGAAAGAATCCATAAAATATATGTAATTAAATCCCATGGTACAAAGGGCAAAGAAGCTTGGCAACAACGCTTCCAGCCTCAGTTTTGTCATATGTAAAATGGAGCAAAGATGGGTTCAGGCTCATTACAAACTGGTGAGGGTTCAAATAATTAAGGGATAGGGATAGAATATCAAAGTATTTTCAAAGCCACATAGAAGGGAGGTGTGAGGGAGGGTTCCTAGGACTTCAAAGTCGGAAGCCGATAAGGGCCTGGCCTTCCGAGAAGCCTTCTAAGTAGAGATTCTGGCCAGCAGGGCTGCTGAAGTGGGCACACCTGCTGTAGGAGGCGTCTCCTTGGGCCCTGAGGGATCACCTGTTCTTTGTTTGCCTTTGCTTCTCTGCTGAGGCCATAAAGAGGCTGGGCTGTAAAATAACCTACTCTGGCCCCAGGAAAGAGATAAGAGATGTCAACTGGGCAGCCAACACCTTCCCTGCCTCCCACCCCAAACAGCTGGCCCTGCCCTCCCCACCCCCACCTCTTCTTCTCTCCAGAGTAAAGCTGGACTTCCCTACTGCCTCCTGCCTGTCCCTTCTCACCAATGCTGCCACCCTTTTTCTCCACTCTATTTCAAGGAAGTAGCCATCTGCCACTAAAACTTTATCCCATGGTCCAATCCATGAGCTTGAATCCAACCAGCCCAGAGCAGCATTTTCCCCCTTGATAGAGAATAAGAGAAAGACAAAGACAAAGGCACATTATTTCCCTAAAGTCCTATATTCCCTGTCTTCTGTGAACCAGTGAAATTATCAACCCACAGTGGGTCAGCTGCCCTTCTGTGGAGCACATCAGAGGAAAAATACCAACGCAGCCCTGGCTGCACACTTTGTGTCGACTCTCCCAATCCTTCTCCCTGCCTTCTGGAACTACAGAGATTCATTCAGTCTACTGTCATTCAACTAATATTTTAAAGCAGTTCAGTAGACTGAATGTTACATGGACAATAGACTCAGTGTTACAGAGACACTGGATGTACAGTTTCGCTTCCAAAGACATGTTATAAAAAAGGGCACAAATGGGATAATAAGTAAAATAGGCACCAGATTACCATATGCTTTGAACAGAGAATTTACCCTATTCTATTCCCCATCTCAAATTGTGCTTAGCTATGTTGTCCTACCAAAATTCCCTGATATGGTGATATATTAGTTAGCTAAAGCTGAGTAAAAAAGAGCCACAGAATCTTAGTGACATACAATTGACATGACTGCAGGTCAGCTGGGGCTAGCTGACCTAGGCGAGCTCAATGGGGCAGCTCTGTTTCAAGCTATGAGTCCAACTGAACTTGGCTCCTCACTGAGATTTAAACTTCTCCACTGATATTCCATCTGGGGCTCAGGCTGAAGGAGTTCAAAGAAGTGTTATGCATGGAGATGGCAGCAGTTCAAGAGGACAAGCCCAGCTATGCAAGGTAATTTCCATTCCTCCGTGAGTCACATCTGCTAACATCCATTGACCAAAGCAAGCTACATGGCTGAGCACAGTTGAGAGGCAAAGAACTGTCCCCCACCTACCCTGAGGCCAAAGCAAGTCAGAGCCATGCCCAACATTAATAGAACCAGTAACTACACTCTTCCAGTGAAATGGAGAGGTGGAAGAGTGAATATGTTTGAACAGTAGTCTCATCTATCATAGTCAATGATACAATTTCAGAAATATTAAGGAAACCAGTATTTGTATCTATCTCATTGAATATAATAATGAAAAATTTCTCATCTTACATTACCAAGTCCAACTCACTTTTTTCCACAGATAATTTTAAATCTTCCCCCAAAAGAAGCCCCATTCCATTTTCTCATGGAAATAATAAACTCAAAATTTCCCATCCCCTAGAGCAGTTTCACTCTGAAACAGATACAGTTTCCCTACACTTCCAGACTGGGCTATAGAAAGTTCTACAAGGACACACAAACATAGACAAAAAAGAATATTGCAATATTAGTCGTGTGTGTGTGTGTGTGTGTGTGTACATACATCACATGAGAAAATTCCCAGATCCAAATGAGGTATAATAGCAGCTTATAATTAGAGTAACTATTCCATTATACAAAAAAATTATCTCCCAAAAGGTACTGTTAAATCAAGTTTAGCCGGCCGGGTGCGGTGGCTCACACCTCTAATCCCAGCACTTTGGGAGGCTAAGGCAGGTGGATTACCTGAGGCCAGGAGTTTGAAACCAGCTTGGCCAACATGGTGAAACCCCATCTCTACTAAAAATACAAAAAATAGCCAGGAATGGTGGCACACACCTGTAGTCCCACCTACTTGGGAGGCTGAGGCAGGAGAATCGCTTAAACCCAGGAGATGGAGGTTGTGATGAGCCGAGATCACGCCACTGCACTCCAGCCTGAGTGACAGAGTGAGACTCCGTCTTAAAAATATAATAAAAAATAAATCAATTTAGCCTAAATCTGCCTCCTTACATATTTTAAGTTCAGCCTAAAGGTTTTTCTGTACATCATGAACTATAACAAGTGGAGGTGTAAACAGACTGTAGTCTACACTTGTGCTAATCAATGAGTTTTGGCCAATCAAATGTAGCCAACTGTTTGAACCCTGTTCAAATAAGGTGAACACCAAGCTGTAACCAATCAGCTATTTCTGTACCTCACCTCCGTTTTCTGTACCTCACTTTCCTTTCTCTGTCCATAAATCTTCCTCCATCACGTGGCTGTGCTGGAGTCTCTGAGCCTACTCTGGCTCAGAAGGCTGCCCAATTCGCGAATCATTCATTGCCTGCTCACTTAAGCTCCTTTAAATTTAATTCAGCTGAAGTTTTTCTTTTATCAGATGGTGTCAGAGCAGATCTGAAGTAGAGCTTCTAACGACTCCCAGGAGTGCTGAGTGACCGAAGCCAGGTACCTGCAGGACCTATTTGTGTTCGTTGATCTCTCAGAGCAGTTGGAAGTCATGGTAAGTTTTCTCTCCAATGTCAGAGCTCCACTGATTTGTGTTTTGAGCTCTCCGAGTTTCTTTGAGCAAATTTCTGTTCCAAACTGGGTTTGGAAGTCATGACAGAAACTGGGCTGGTTCAAGGAATGGATTTGATCTGGTAATTAACTGGCTTGGATACAGTTAGAGGCCTCTTACATCTGACTGGGTCAGAAAGAAATGTAGTAAATGGTAATATTGCAGGGGTGTAAAATTAGGCTATTGAAAATTCACAGGGATTTTTGTGTTTTACCCCTTTGTTTCTTTTTTTTTTTTTTTTGAGACAGTCTCACCTTGTTGCCCAGGCTGGAGTGCAGTGGCGCAATCTCAGCTCACTGCACTCTCTGCCTCCCAGATTCAAGTGATTCTCCTGCCTCAGCCTCCTGAGGAGCTGGGATTACAGGCGTCTACCACCACGCCCTGCTAATTTTTTGTATTTTTAGTAGAGATGGGGTTTCACCATGTTGGCCAGGCTGGTCTCGAACTCCTGACCTCAGGTGATCCACCCGCCTCGGCCTCCCAAAGAGCTGGGATAACAAGTGTGAGCCACTGCACCCGGCCTTGTTTCATTTTTCTTATGCACTTTGGTAGGAGAAAAATCATTGGCTAGGTTGATCAAAGGAACCTGAGAGCAAAGCCAAAATCTGAGGTAAAAATTGAATCCTTAATTTCTTTTTTTTCTTTAATTTGAGACGGAGTCTCGCTCTGTCGCCCAGGCTGAAGTGCAGTGGCGTGATCTCGGCTCACTGCAAGCTCCGCCTCCCGGGTTCACGCCATTCTCCTGCCTCAGCCTCCCAAGTAGCTGGGACTACAAGCACCCGCCACCACGCCCGGCTAATTTTTTTTGTATTTTTAGTAGAGACGGGGTTTCACCGTGTTAGCCAGGATGGTCTCGATCTCCTGACCTCGTGATCCGCCCACCTCGCCTCCCAAAGTGCTGGGATTACAAGCATGAGCCACCGCGCCCGGCCTGGATCCTTAATTTCTGAAGAACTGAGTTCCTTCTGGCTAATACCTGCATAAGTGGTAGGCCCCGGAAGCAGCAGTCTTATAGAAATGGTGAAATCTTACTAAAGATAACTTAGAGTGGAATGTTCCAAATGAACAAAACTGCACTGAAGTGCATTTGAAAATGAGGGCTCCCAAGTTAGTCTCATCTAGGGATGTCTATTGATATGCAGAAGCTTCTAAAAAGATTTCAGTATTTTTATTTAAAGACTTTACAAAAGGCAAATCGAAAGCTTATGCGACTCATTGACTTAAAAAATTAAATCTGCTAGCCTTTTAGCTTAGTTACGATCCCGATCCAAAGGAAATAGACCGCAGCACCAATGGGCTGACTTTGGGTGAGTAGTGGGTTCATTTTACCTGGTAAAGGATGGGATTGGGTTGGAGGCCTTCCCCCTCAGTAAAGTCCCTCTTTGTTAAACGTGGATTTGGCACCATGGGGTTAACCACTATTCTCTTTGGAGTGATCTGCCTTGCACTCTTTGCTAACACCAGTGGGTGATAGGATTAGGCGTGTACCAGGCCATAGAACGTGGGGAACTTTTTCTCCCCAAAGGGGAAAATTTGGGAGCTGATGGGACTGCTCGAAAAGATCCTTCACGACCAACAATCAGCCGCCTGAACTTTTGATTCAGCATCCCTGCAATGGGTGGGTCTTTCTCTGGCCTCCCTGAGCTCCTCATCTTCCCCACTCTGCCACAGGCAATGCTTTTCTCCCTTTCTCTTCTTTCCCTTTCTTTTCTGTTAAAAGGGCGTCCATCTTGCCCAAAGATCACATGTTGAAACTCCTTTAATCCACTTTGAATGTATTAAAGATGATAGGGACCAACTGGGGGCAAGTTTGAGCCTCACAAGTTCGATAGTGGGTGCTAAGCAGAGTGGCTAATGTCTATGTTTTGTCACATGTATTTTTCTCTGGCCAGAATGGAAAACATTAATTTGGGTCCTCCATGCAGCTAGTTGGGTGGCAACTTGCAAAATTGAGAGGCTTTTGCCTATGGTTACAAACTTTGCTACAGATTCCTGAAACAAGCAGAAAACTGAATGAGGTCTCCATCTTGTTTTATGTCCTGGGGAGCTTGACCTTGTAACAGCGTGGCAGTACTTTCTCTTGGTCTCTGCCATCTAGGGAAAAGGAATTTTGGGGCTCATATCATAGTTAGCTCTAAAAATTATTTTGAGTAGTTAAAAGCCATTGCAAGCTCAAAATTGATTGCTCTAGACTCTTTGTGGGAAAAGCAGTGGAAACTGCCCAATGTTTTAGCTCAGCAGCTAAGGGTTTGCCATTTTATAATGGCAGCCTGGGTTCTATCCTAGCTTACAGAATGAGTACATTCTGGTGGACATCTCTGTGACCTTTACCGTTTGTTGATTCCCTTCCCCTCCATTAACAACTTCTGGCTTCCCTTCTTAAATTTTCCTTTCTCTGAGCTACCTTTGAAGATTCTTAATTTTGTAAAAATTGAAAATACCTCATACACTCATGGTTAAGTCATAACCTTAGTTGAGGTTTGTTGGTTTCACTCGTAGAGTTACTTACGGTAAAGTTTAAAAGCCAGATATATTGGCTGTTTGCCCTGGCTAAACTAGAGTAATGAGAAATTAAAAGAACATTTTTGTGAGTGCTGTGGTTAAAAGTCAGTTTAATTAAAGCTGACTTGGATACATATATCCAAGCTATATGTATATTTAAATGGCCTTTATGGGTTTTTATTCCCTTCTTGGATCTTATTTTTCTGAAGAAAATAGGTTTGTTTGTTTTTTCTTCTCAGTCAACTGAATTGTTTTTCTCCATTTTGTCTTCTTGCCACACTTAATGCACACATGAGAAGACCTAAGATAACTTCCAATAGTCTGGGACTCCTTAGGAAAAACAGAGGAAGTGCCATAGACCCGGTTTTGGGAAAAAAACTCGATTTTCCTCATGAAACCCCAGGAATTGAAAGTAAATAGATTTTGCATTGTGTTATCTGAAGGTTTTCAGTTTTGGGGGTATCAAAAATTACTTGCATTATAAGAGAACTTTCGTGTGTAATAACTAGGTAGGAAATATACTTTTAGAGATGGTTAATGGCAGTTATGGGGGGATACTAACCATGCTTGAATCAGAGAAGCATGCTCTTGGCCACCTAGAAGGTACGGAAAAATCCCCACCCCCTACTAGGAGTCAAATTAATTGACTCTCACGGGGGACAGGCTGATTGCAAAATGGGCTGATTGGCTTTGGGTTGCCATGCAATTAAATGCATGGTAAAAGCATTGCACTGTCTTCTATAGCATTTTCCTCTTTTTAGGGATCTGGGATGTAATATAAAAATGGGACCCTTAATTTTGGAGATCTGTTTTTGTCATTCAGTTGTGCCTCCTTATTAGGTCCTAGAAACCGCATCCTTTCCTGGCCCTGCTCCTTGAAGGACCCCACCCTGAAGCCAGTAATCTAATTAAGAAACTTAAAAACTGGCAAATGAAAAATCTTACAACTAGTGGATCTTTTTCTATCTGTGTAGTTATATATGTGTCGTGTGTGTGATGTTTATATAAATGAACTCTAAGTAACTGGCTTAAAGAAAAATAAGGCTTAAATAAAATATTTTGAAAGAAAAAACTGTAATGCCTTGTAGTTCACGTGACTTTAGTAATCTCTGAGAAATAAAAACAGTTTTAAAGATTACTGGTAAAATAAAGACATTTGGTCTAAATTAGGTAGGTCAGGCTGGGTGCAGTGGCTCATGCTCATAATCACAGCACTTTGGGAAGCCAAGGCAGGCAGATCCCTGGAGTCAGGAGTTCAAGACCAGCCTGGCCAACGCGGTAAAGCCCCATCTCTACTAAAAATACAAAAATTAGCCGGACATGGTGGCACATGCTTGTAATCCCACCTACTCAGGAGGCTGAGGCAGGAGAATTGCTTGAGCCCGGGAGGTGGAGGTTGCAGTGAGCCAGGATCGCAACACTGCACTCCAGCCTGGGCGGCAGAGCAAGACTCCATCTCAAAAAAAATAATAATAAAATAAAATAAGTAAATAAATTAGGTAGGTCAGATATTAGGTTTACTAAATGCTTTAAGGTCATAAACTGCTTCTTTGGCTTTTGAAAATTGTTCAACTTGCCTGCTTAACAGCTAGGTCAGACCTAAGGACATGTGGAATTAACCACTCCCCTAGCTATGCTGAAAAGGGTCAGACCTTATCTGTACTTCTGTCTGGTGTCCTAGGCTCCAAACCTAGTACGTAATTAAAATCACTTACTTAACAGGGTTTTCACCAAAAATTAATATTGCTAAGAATTAACATTGTAACATGTAATTAAGACTACTAAAAAAAGTTGTACATGCAAAGTGTATGAGGAAAGCAAAATGTGCTTTTACTAAAAGATTATAACAAGGCATGGAAATGTAAATTTTTGCCTAGTTTAGAGGGTTAAAGTATTGTTTTAAATTAGGATAAAGCTAAAGGTTTGAACAAGTTGTGAAACAGTTGTGAAAAATTAATTGTAACAGAGATTCTATGTATGAACATATTGGCTAAATTTAAAGGGGTATTACTCAGTTTTTTCTGTAAATTGAACATTGGAATAAAACCACAACAGTTTCCTTAGAGCACTGATCTGCTCTTTAACAAAAATGGTAAAGGGTTATAAAAAAGACTTATGAGAATCTTATCTTATAGTCAGACATTAAAATTGAACATATTTGTCTATAAGGTTTTATTAAGAATGGGGTTTGACATCAATAATGCACTAATGCAATGCTAAAATTGGCTTTCTCTCTTGAACAAGATTTTTATGCTATATTTTTAAAAATGAAACATTTTTGTTTGCCTTTTGAATAAACTACCAAAAAAAGAAGGGAAAGACGAGACAGATTGTTTGGAAAGCTAAGTCTTCCCTCCATCAATGAGTAAAGGTTTATGCCTTTTATATTTTTGAGTCATCATTTTGGCTAAATGAATGACTTATGTTGACCTGGGATTCTATTTCATAATATTAAGTGTTTTAAACCTTAATAACATATTTGATAAGCTTCCCAAAATCAAATTTCAGCTTCAAAATTGTCTTTTCTGACCTCTAACTTTGAGGTGCTACAGAGGGCCCCTGAAGCATCCAAAAGAGAGGTTAACAGGATTATTTGACATGTTAAGTTACATGAGAAGCATTGTCAAAATAAAAACTAATGTTTAACCTTCTTCAGGCTATATTTTAGTGAATGATATTAATATATGTTCCAAAATTATATGGGGTTTCTAAAATTCTAATATGTCTGAGTATATGCTATCAATCATAGTTATTATGTTAAGTTATTGTAAACCACAGAAATAACCAAATTTTCTTGTCAATTCTGTTTTTAACTACGCCTATTTAAAGTCATTTCCACAGTTATTTGCTTACTGCTGATGCTGTAAGATCTTGGTGTGTGTGTATATGTGTTTAGATGTGTTTACACATATGTACATGTATTGTGTTTTATGTTGTGTCTACATGGCAAAATCTGGCATAGCTGGCCAAAAATTCCTTAAAGAATTCTATTTAGATAAATGAGCACTCATATAAAATATACAGCAATGAACAAAAATTTTTTTCGTTCACATGACTTAAGTAAATATTGGATATATTAATTGGCTTCAAAATTGTTGATAACATAAAATTAGAAATGTCCCAAAATTGTCAACATATATTTTTTGCCTGGGTGAACTGATTAGACAGTTTATTTGCTTCTGTTAGATCCTTTAAGGTTATAAAGCTGTGAACCCAGCCTAAAACAGAATGATTTTTGTGCAATTCTTTGATAAGTAAGATTATTTTAATATTGTTGATTCAATAAAAACAGCTATAGCTTGTGAGTTATCAACCAAATACCCATTTATTTAACTTTAAGGCTCTTACTTAGGTAAACACTTGATATTAACAGGCTACCAAGTTGGCTAATAAAAGAACTTAATGACTAGCTCTAATACCTCAATTTTCATAGTAAACTCTAGATATAGTTGTTAAAAAAAATTAGATGATTATACATATAAACTCTAGATATAATTGTTAAAAAGATTAGGTGACTATAAATAGAATAAACATTTATAAATAAACTTTTCATGTAATCTAAAATCTTAAAGTTATGGTAAATTAAATAATAGGTACTCATTAAATGTCCGGTTCATATCCAAATAAGAAAAAACCAACAAATTGCTAAATAAATACAAGTTTGTTCTTGGCTTCTTCAATTTTATAATAATACTAAATATATTTAGGTTTATTAATCAAAATATAAGTAATATGAAAAAAATAATTTATTTGAGAAAGACTCTTATGTGGTAAATTGTTGTCCTAAAGCAAAACGACTAGTTATTTAAGAAACAGGACGTATAGAAAAAAGCAAAAAAAACAAGTATGTCAACTATGGTCCAAGTAAGTCATAAAAAGGTTCATAAAGGGGGAAGTTATGAAATAAATTTTGTGTATGATCAAGTTGTTTATAATTAGAAGGGAATTATTTATAAATGTTTCTAAAGATTAAAATTTGATACTAAAAATACACTAATACTAAACCAAAAAAATGTGGCCCCCTATTTAGAACAACAAAGTTTTTTTGAAGTATTGGTCTGCTCTTAATAAAATTGCAAAAGGGTTTTATTTTTAATTCTAAAATCTGTTTTTTTTAACAACAATCTTCTAAACTGCAGCCAGTGTCAGTATCTGCCACATTTCCTGAGATCTAATTAATTTCCCTAGTTTTGGCTTAAAAATATGGTCCTCTTTATTTACAATGGTAATTCATTCCTTGAGGTAAAGTTTTCCTTTTGAAATTTCTCAAATTTTTGTCTCAGAAGTTCAACTTCTGCTGTACCTTGCAGCACATGACTTGCAGCAAAAGATCCTTGCCTTCTGAACTTTCTCCCCTTGAAAAGGTGTATTTTTTGCTTGGCTGGGGTGATAATTCTCTCCTTCAACCTTTTTTGTCAACTCTTACATCTTTTTTTTTTCCCGCCAGTTCTACCTCTGCTATTATGGTCTGATGCTGAAGTGTTTCTCTTAAAAGCCTAGAAAAGCAATGTTTTCCTCCAATATAATTTGATTCTATACTCTTGGCTTTTCTCAATATGTCTGAATTGTACCATTGTAACCAGGAAGCTTTTCCATGCTGTTACTAAGAGCCATGTATTTTCTTTCTCAAGGTACTAGTTTTCTTGTTTACATTCTTCTATAATATAGTGTATACTCACAATCTTGGACATATTCTTCCTGTGTGGGATTAAAATCAAGTATATTTTTCATTAGGTTCAACTTACAGGTTATATTAGTGAGATTCTGGTAAGGAGAAACAGTCATTCTGCAGATTTTCTTTTTAACTTTTTGGTTACTGAGCCAAAAAAAAAAAAAAACCATTTTATCAAGATAATTTATTGTGTTGTCTTTATTAGGTTTTTGATTACTTAGAAAAACTGATATTGAAAAAGGTTAAGGTGTTTACATCCATGTAACTTTCTATATTGCTTCTGAAACCTCGACTATCACTTTAGTTAAGTGAATGACTATTATTTTTCAGTGATCTGTGATTCTGTTTCAATCAAATATTTTAAGTTTTTTACATCATTGACAAACTTCCCCAAAATCAAATCCTAACCTAAGTCTTCATGACCTAGAATTAACCTTGGGATTTTTCTAATTTGGTCCCTGGAAAGTCTCAAGAGATATACCTCTCATCTTGTAGATGGGGATATTAAATGATTACTGTTATTTGGTAAATCATACAAAAAACATTGTCAAATGATAAGTGATACTAGATCTTCTTTTAGTTGCATTTATTGGTATGTTGTTGATATGAAAGTTCTGAAAATTCTGTAAATTTATAAAAATATCAGATGAGAAAAAAAGAAAAAAGTATAAACAAATTTATAGAAATATGTCTTAGTCATAATTCTGGTTATCTTAAAATGCTATATATAATAGAAATAACGAAATTTCCTTGTTGATTATAAACTTTCGTCAGATTTTTAACTATGGCTATTCTAAGTTTTTGTCATCCACAGTTTTGAATTCTTCTCTAAAAACATTTACAATCAGATTAATGGAAAAGATTCTAATAAATACTCTTAAATACAGGTTTCTGTTAACTTTAAGATCAATAGACTAAATAAAAATGTCCAGATCTCTACTAAATAAATTGATGGGTTCATGAAACTAGTAATCAAGATCAATCAGGACAAAAATTAATTACATGAATTAAGTAATTGATAAAGATATTTTTGGCCAGGCATGGTGGCTCACGCCCAGCACTTTGGGAGGCCGAGATGGGTGGATCACGACGTCAGGAGATCAAGACCATCCTGGCTAACACAGTGAAACCCCATCTCTACTAAAAATACAAAAAATTAGCCAGGCATGGTGGTGGGCACCTGTAGTCCCACCTATTTGGGAGGCTGAGGCAGGAGAATGGTGTGAACCCAGGAGGCGGAGCTTGCAGTGAGCTGAGATCGTGCCACTGCACTCCGGCCTGGACAACAGAGGAACACTGGTGGTGAGCACCTGTAATTCCAGTTACTCAGGAGGCTGAGGCAGGAGAATAGTTTGAACCCAGGAGGCGGAGGTTATAATGAGCTGAGATCATGCCACTGCACTTCAGCCTGGGTGACCAAACGAGACTCTATCTCAAAAAAAAATAATATTTTTATAACTTTTATTTAAAACATTGTTGATTCTTGTCTTAAATATTTTGTTCTCCAGATTTAAGGAAAAAATTTCTCTTTATCTATAATTTACAGCAATTTGATAAAGTATACTTTTTTAAACAAAGATAAAAGCATTTGGTGTTTTCTCCTTACTTGATTCTTCCAGAATTCAAAAACTATTTGTGAGTATTCTTATGGCAATATGATTATTTGCCTAAGTGCAATGAAAATCCATTCTCTTCAGCGGGGCACAATGGCTCGTGCCTGTAATCCCAGCACTTTGGGAGGCCAAGGCGGGCGGATCACCTGAGGTCAGGAGCTCAAGACCCACCTGGCCAACATGGCAAAACTCCATCTATACTAAAAAAAAATACAAAAATTAGCTGATCATTGTGGTTCACACTTGTAATCCCAGCTACTCGGGAGGCTGAGGCACAGGAATTGATTGAACCTGAGAGGCAGAGATTGCAGTGAGCCAAGATCATGCCACTGCATTCCTGGGAGAGTGAGCCTGGGAGACAGAGCGAGACCACATCTAAAAAAAAAAAAAAAAAAAAAAAAAAAAAAATCCATTCTCTTTCTATAGCAGAATATAATTGATTATATTACCAAGGCTTTGACTAAAATGTCATATTTGAAGAATGCACAAAATGCCTGACTTCAAGGGTTACCAGCCTTACAATGAGTACATTAAAATTGTCATTTCCTGGCACAGGAACCTTAAAACTGTAAGCAAAATCTAAAGTCTGCCTCAGTTTGGCTTCCCAGTCTCAAAGTTTTAAATCTGAGGTTCTTACGTGATCAATGTTAAAAATTTTAAAACCTGTGTTTCTAAAGTTATAATATGCCTCTTAATAAATGATAACTCTACATTGTGTTTGAGTTCTTGCTATTTACCTATAGACTAGTATAGACCTAAATTCTTCTGGGTTCCTCTAATCCAACTTTCCCTCATAAAATTACCAAAACATGAACTGTTCTATTTCTAAAGCTGAAAGTAGACAAATTTTAAGGAACATGTCTCATGACTGATGTATGTGCCACACAGAAAGTTCACCAAAAGGCCTGATGCCATAACCAGAGGCATTCAAACTGCACACCAGAATGAGAAATTGATGTTTTTCATGGGATAGACAGCTTTTCCCAAGACAGTATGGTTGATCAGCAATGGTTTTGGAGAAAGATCTTGATCAAAAGGGAGCCATAAGAAAGAAGATTATGCAAATTGGGCCATTCCTATTACACCTGACTAAATCCAAATTGAAGGGCCCGGCGGGGAAAATTACTTGAGGCACATAGCACCTGCTCCAAGAATTACATTTTTCACAAGCTCAACTGCTGAAGCTTCCTGTTGTAACCTGAAACCAGTTTTATCTAACAGCTACTAAAACAATCTGCTGTGACTCTACCCACCACCATCCCTCACTAGTCAGAGCCACCAGCTCTCCAAAACTTTACTAATGCAAAATAACTTTCTTTCAAATGATACATAACATTTATCCTTTTTGTAAAACCTCCCATCTTTTCTTTGTTCTTTGAACAGACCTAAGACTACCCACTCTGTGTGTATGCCCCAATTTGCAATTCTTGCTTCCAAATAAAATGTTTTAAATTTAGACATTCATCTCTAATCTTTTATTTTATCTTTTATTTGACATTGACAAGCTCAAAGCTCCCTCCATTCCATTTCTCTGACATCTCTAGTGTGCCATCCTCACCTGCTTGCAGAGCTGGCTATAGGCAGTGGGAAGCAGGACAGCAGGGAGAAGGCACGCCCTTAGTTCATCAGCAGCACACAGACCCCCCACTCACATTCATTGGACAGAATTTAGCCACGTGGCCATATCAACCTGCATGTAGTCCAGCCTTGTACTCTGAAAGAAGAGGAAACTGGAATCTGGTAGACCACTAGCAGCCTTTCTATCTTTTTGCACTGAATTCTGGAGTATCCCTTGCCTTGTTCTTCTACATCACTAATTCTCTATGTATGTTATCATGATACTAATCCTAATCATTAAGTTATTTAGTTTATTTTGACAATCATATCTTTCATTGCCAAGATCTAATTATTTCATTTCTATAATCACTTGTTCTTGATATACTTTCATTCCTCTTGAGATATTTCCTTCTTCTAAAATCTCTTCTTCAGGCTGGGCACAGTGGATCACGCCTGTAATCCCAGCACTTTGGGAGGCCGAGTCAGGCAGATCACTTGAGATCAGGAGTTTGAGACCAGCCTGGCCAACATGGTGAAACCCCGTCTCTACTGCAAATACAAAAATTAGCCGGGCATGGTGGTGCTGCGCCTATAATCCCAGCTACTCGGGAGGCTGAGGTAGGACAATCGCTTGAACCCGGGAGACAGAGGTTGCAGTGAGCCGAGATCGCGCCACTGAACTCCAGCCTGGGCGCCAGAGAGAGATTTCATCTCAAAAAGTAAAAATAAATAAATAAATAAATAAATAAATAAATAAAATCTCTTCATTCAATTAACTCTATTTCCTTGGTGCTGGTATTCAATTGTGACTTTTTTCACAATTGTTTATGTCTTGTTTGAATACCTGTCTTTGACCTAAGGTTCTCTGAGATCCTTCAGTGAGCATTATCTTTGTTACCTGCAAGCAGTGAAGGCTGTCTCCAGGGCTGGGGAGGTGGAGAGAATTCTACTGGGCTGAGTGTGCCAGTAGTTAGTGTTCTATGCATGGGAGGTCCCCAGTGCTTCTGGGGCTACCTTCACACTCCTACTCAAGTGCCCGCTCCCAAAGTTGCCTGCTGCTGGGTGAAGGAGGACAGAGCCAACAATCTCAACTCTGGTTCCTGTCAATGAAAGAAAAAAATCAGGCTTTTCGATAATTAAAGTTAGTTTTATTCAGAAGTCTCACTGAGGATTGCAACCCAGGAGAGCCTTTCACAGAACTTCTGCTAGACTGCTCCAAAGCAATGTGGCAGCCCACAGCTTCTATACTGGCGGTGGAGGTTTTGCATGTGCTCAGAAGTTACATTAGAGCAGAATCTCCTCAATGTTTGGGTGCACCTGGTTATAGATTATAGAAGCATAATCTCTAATCCTCTTGAACATTGTCTTATGTACAAGAAGAGGCAAAAGCTAGGATCATTGAACTTATCTTTTTCTTAAAATGTAGTGATTTAGGCAAGAGAGATGGCAGCCTGTGCTCTATCCTGCTTATCATCTTCAGGGCATTCTTCTGGAGGGCTGCACTCAGCCACTGAGTCAGGGGCTTCGTAAAATTCTGCTGGCAAGGAGAATGAACAAATGTGGCTTCGTATGTGTAGTATTTTGTCTCATATTCCCAAGAGGTTTGCCTGCTGTGGCTCCAGGGCCCTCTGCTCCTTCTACGTGCCTCTTCCCTGCTGGAAGCACTCCATAAGCCCCCCACACTTTCTCACTGGTCCTCCACTGCACACAGTGTGGGTTATAGTTTCCTCTGCTCACCAAATCCCTTCTTTCATCCTTCGAGGAGTCCTTGTATTTTCTGGACCATTAAGAGTAATGTGACAGGATTCTGGGGATGCAGGGAAAGAGACGAGTCATGAGTCCGGGATGCCTCTCAAGTCCATCTCACCGCCACCCCATAATATTGTTCAGAACAACATTCCTACTTCCAGCCAGAAGCCATGGCAAATATTTGGTGCAATTTTGAGAAGGAATCAGAGGCAAAGAAAACAGCTCCTTGGTGTCAGCTCCACTATGACTGCTGGTCAATGCATAGCAATTGGCAGAAGCACACCTTCTGTGAGGTTAAAGCTAAGGTGGGCAAGTGTGCCATCAGAAGGACATTGTAACACTGTGCCTTTATCCAAGAGTGATAGTGCCTCCCCTCTTAGAGAGAGCATCAGAAAAACAATTTAGAAATGTGTAACGCTGGCAATTCCAGTCTCCAGGCCTATTCGGAGGCTCCTTCTTCCCCTCACTGTTCACTCCTTGTGCTAGGATCTCTGTATTTCCCTTCCAATGCCTTTAGGTCTGGTTTCTGGCACTCCAGTCCTAGATTGAGCACAGGATGGGTCTAAGGAGCACCTTTGCTATCACACAGGGCATGGAAACCCGTTTCTTGGGGTGTCCCTCCAAGCACTCCTGGTTCTCCCCGGTCGCACCATCTCCTCCCCAATGGCCGGTGCTCCCCAGTCACATTGTCTTCTCCCCGCAGTCCTCCGTCCCCAGGAGCATCCCGGGGCTTCCAAATGCCAATTTCACGTGCAGGTACTGTACTCACTTATCTTGCTGACTATGCCAAATTAAGTGTGTGTGTGTTTATGTGATATATCATGTGGGGTATGTGTGTGGCACATGTGAGTATGGTGTATGTGCGGTGTGTATGTGGTATATTGTGTGGATGTGTGCGTGTTGTGTGGTATGTGTGACGTATTATGTAGAGTGTGTGTGGTATGTGTGGTGTGTGAGGTGTGTAGTGCGTGCTGTGTTATGTGGTGTGTGTGATGTGTGTATGCTGTGTGTGTATTTTGTGTGTGTGTTGTATTGTGTAGGGTATGTGAGTGGCATGTGTTTCACGTGTGGTGTACTGTTTGGGGTGTGTGTATGCTGTGTGTTATGTGTATGTGGTGTGTGTGTGGTGTGCTGTGATGTGTGGTGTGTATATGTGGTGTGTTTGTGCTGTATTGTGTGGTATGTGTATAGGGTGTACTGTATGGGGTGTTAGTATGTGTGTCTGTATGTGATGTGTGTGGTGTGTGGGGGGTGTATTCTGTGGTGTGTGTGGTGTGTGTAGTGTGTGGTGTGTGTAGTGTGTGTGTGTGGTGCAGTGTGTGTGGTGCATTGTGTGATGTGCATGTGTGGTGTGTGAGGGGGGTATATTCTGTGGTGTGTGTGTGGTGTATATGGTGTGTGTGGCGTGTGTAGTGTGTGTGTGGTCCAGTGTGTGGTGCAGTGTTTGGCATGTGTGTGGTGTGTGTGTGGTGTATTCTGTGGTGTGTGATGTGTGTGGTGAAATGGGTGGTGTGTGTGTGTGGTGTGTGGCGTCTGTGTGTGATGTGTGTTCTGTGTGTGTGTTTGAGTGGAGAGATCCTTCAACCTGAAGGATCCTGAGCCTTTCTCTTCAGGACAGGTGAGGACACCTTAGCTGGTGGCTGTGTTTCCTGCCCTGGGGAGTCAGCCGAGCGGAGCCCCACCATGGCTAGGTGTTACATATGTTCAGTATCACCTCTGACTTCAAAAAAGCGAGCACCCCCATTTCCAGGAATCGCCTGGGAACCGTTTCAAAGGAGTCATGCCAGCCAGGACAGAGAGCTGGGAAGCGGGACCACAGGAGCAACTCTGAACAGTCATTGGATGCGCTCTCCAACCAGCTGCTCTGCTCACCTCAAAGCACACACCAAAGAGAGGGAGAGGCTCTGAGCCCATGCGGGTGAATCAGGGTGAGCCACGCAAATCTGCTGGCCCCTGGCAGTCATGGCAGATGCTGCCAGGAGGCCTCCCTCATTACTCGGAGTAGGCTTGAAGTCATGCTTTCCAGTGTGAGGTGCGCGAGCCAAGCAAAGGAGGAGGCCTGGTCAGGAGGGGGGAGTTCCCTGTGACAATGGAATGAAAAGGCTGCTGCAGGGCCCAGCTGGCCCTGGGCACGGTGTGGGGAGGGGAATCCGCAAACCAGGCAGAGCCCTCCAGCCCAGGGCGTTAGTTGTTGACCCATCTTTCCTCCCCACCACCAGACTGGGAGTCCTCATCCTTTGCGCTTTGCAGTTTAGGAAGCAATCTCTGAAGAGCACAAACCTATTTAACAATGATAAAACTTCGGCTTTAAAGGGCTGATGTGGCACACTGGCACTAGAGCCAGGACACATGAGGGAGATCTCTCTTCTCCCGCTCAGCAGCTGGCCTCCCTTCTGAGGGCCCACCTCGGACTGACTGGAGGACACCACTTGGAATGGCAAAGATGGGGGCAATGCAAAGGCCACAAGGATGGCTTCATAGACAGGATGTGGACTTGGCATTGGGCAGACCTGGATTTAAATTCCAGCTCTGCCTCAGTCTGTTTTCCATTAAATGAAGATACTTGTGCAAGGGTTCTGTGAGAATTCCAGTGGCTGAAGTGTGAAGCATTCCCCACTCAGGGTTGCACAGCTGGGACTGGGTGAACACTGTTAGTACCCTCACCCTGTGTGCTGCAGCTGCATCAGGGCCAGCTGCCCTTCTCACAAGCACCTATGCACAGATAGCCCCCATTTCACCCCAAAGGACAACTATTCAGAGAATTACCATCCATCAAGCCAGGGCACTCCAATCAGAGGAAGGTGTCACTTCCTGGTAGGACAACTAGAAGGGCAGGAGCTATTCACTGAGCATAAGAGGAAGGCATGGTACAGGTGGGGCATTTGTGGAGAGCAAGACAGGGAGCAGAGAAGTTTCTGGCAACATGCTGCTCCCAGAGGAATAGGGCTGCCACACCTGGTACCAGGAAACTGGGGAATGGCCACAGCTCAGCTCTGCCACTCAAGAACCCCACTTGCCACCTGCATAGGAAAAGACAACATTGTGGCCACAGAAGGGTGAGGGGCCCCACAGAACTGGGGATGCCAGGACACTTGGTCCATGGGAAGCTGCCTTTTGCTCTGGCCTGTGCCTGGAAGCAAAACCATCATCCATAACTCCATCTAAGGATTCTTAGAGCAGATACTAGCTGGACCACAAGGGGCAGCCCAAACCTTTCTGTTCCATCCCATGGCCTGGCCCTTGCTGGCCCACAGCTCACAGAATCTGCTGGGGCTCCCCAGCTCAGGCAGTACAATACTCTGTTGACCATACGCTGACAGGTCGGGCACTGCTCTTCCTAGTTGGACCTGATACTAGTCATGATTCACTCACCTATGCAGAAGCCTGTGCATGCAACAAGGCTTAGCCCTTCTCCCATGGAGATGAACCTTCTGTTCCTCCCTCCTGCTTTCACCACCCCCACCCTACCCAAAGAAGAGGAAGAAAACAGAGTAGCTTTGGCAACCTTTTCTACCCCTCTCCCAGGCAAGAAAAGCAGAAGAACAACCTGAAGAACCAGGCTTCTCTCCTATATCCTCCATCTCGCCTTCAGCCTGCATCCCTTCTTACTACCCTCTCTCCATTATAATTTGCTCTCTGTACATTTTAAATCAATCAAATTAGCAAAATAAATCATGAAAACCCTATACATTTATAAACATAGTAATATGTGATGCTCATAAGATGCAAGGAGATGGGTACTTTCATAGTGTTGATAGTAGGAATATAAACTGAAAATGCTTTTTTTGGTAAGGCAATTTAGCCATTTATATCAAAACATTAAAAATGTTCATCCCTCAGACCCAGGCATTCAGTCTCAGCAATGTATCCTAGAGAAATCTAAAATACAAAAGTCACAAAGCTCAATGCAAGAAAATGTTATCATCTTGCTAATTACAAAAGTGGAAAATTGAAAACAATTTCAATTTACAATATATGGAACTGGTTAAGTAAATATAGCAATGGGATACAACATTGGACAGGCTCTAAAACAGTGTTTAACCAGAATTATTAAACATTCATTTTGTAGTATGAAGTGACTATAGCAATGTAATACAACATTGGGTAGACTCTAACATGGTGTTTATTCAGAATTTGTTTTGTTTTGTTTTGAGACAGGGTCTCACTCTGTTGCCCAGGCTAGAGTGCCATGGCATGATCATGGCTCACTGCAGCCTTGACTTCCCCAGGCTCAGGCAATCCTCCTGCCTCAGTCTTCTGAGTAGCTGGGACTGCAGGCATGCACCACCAATCCTGTCTGTTTTTTTTTTTTTTTTTTTTCTATTTATTTGTAGAGATGGGATTTCACCATGTTTCTCAGGCTGGTCTTGAACTCCTGAGTTCAAGTGACCCGCCTGCTTTGGCCTCCCAAAGTGCTGACATTACTGGCATGAGCCACTGTGCCTGGCCTATTCAAAATTCTAAATGTTTACTTTGTAGTGTAAAATACATGTGGTAAATTTATTTTAATATGGATCCTATAAAATTTCATATACAGTATCAATCTCAAAGACATTTAAAGGTTTTTTTTTCAAATAATAGGAAATTGAATGAAAAGGAATAAAGCAAAATGTTGACTGGTTGTCATCAAGTAATAACTGTGTATTATTTATTTTCATTCATATATTCCTAAATTTTCTAAAAGGTTTATACTGTTTTGAATTTTTTTTAATCTTTAAGGAAATCAACTTTTATAGCTTAGAGTGGGTAAATTTTAATTAATATGTTCCTTTTGTCAGGAATATTTGCAATCTAAACACACTTTAAACTTTGGCTTTTCTCTTGTACCACCCTGTTGCCATTTACCAAACTATAGTATTCACAGCCTATATGTTTATTATTGCTTCAGTCCTCATTGATTGTATCCTATGGACTATGCACCTATTTAATCCTCATACAGAGTATACTCTGTAAAGTATGCTGTCTGACACTGAAAGTCAGAAAGTTTGAGTTGCTTGCTCAGGATACCAAAGGTCATCAGCAGAGGCTGCTTGATACTGTCAGTACTTTTCAGATAGTCACTCTATCAGGGCTTTAGTCCACAGTGCTCCTGTGGATGCTAACCCTACCTGGGATTGCTCTCCTTTTCCTTGAGCCCTCCTGTCTTAGGCTGTTTTGTGTTGCTATAACAGAATACCATACCCTGGGTAATTTATAAAGAGAAGAAATTTATTTGGCTCACAATTATGGAGGCTGTGAAGTCCAAGAGCATGGCACCAGCATCTCTGCTTTCATGTTGCATCATCCCATGATAGAAGGTGGAAGGGCAAGCAAGCACATGAAACAGAGAAGGGAGGGGGCCGAACTTGATCCTTTTATCAGAAACCCACTCCTACAATAACAGCATTAATCCATTCATGCAGGCAGAGCCCTCATGAGCTAATCACCCCTCAAAGCACCCTCCTCTTAATATCATCGCAATGGCAATTAAATTACAACATGAGTTTTGGAGGCAATGCTCAAGCCATAGCACTTCTCAAGAAGGGCACCAGCAGAATATGCTTGTGATCGCTCTGAATCTCCATCAGGTCATAGCATGGAATGAAGGTATCTGGTTTACTCAAGCATCCCTCCCACGGCCTGAGGTCCCAAGATTGGATTTTCTGTTCCCATCATTGGAAAGCAGAGGAATCCTTGTGGAAGTGCATCTGCCTTCACAGGACCACACCAGGAGCAGGAATTGTAAAATCCACCTCTGCTCTCCCAAGAGAGAAGGAGAGGGAGGGAAGGAGCACATTTGGCAACTGAGAGCATGCAACAGAAACCATTCCTTGGAGATCCTATGGGGCAAGCAATGGAAGGGACACTAATTTCCATCTGGAAAAGATATGGCCAGAGCTCTGACTTCAAACTCTGGAAGGAAGGTGGGGGCTGACCCCTATTGAGGATCTTCTGGGCACCAGATGCTGGACTGGGTATTTAATTCTAGTCAATTTATTGAGGGAATGAGACTCCAAAAGGTGAAATACCTTACCCACAGTCATGCAGCTGGTAGGTGACAGAGATGGAGCTGAACCCAGACTCTTCCTCTTATCCAGTCACATACCGAGACCCTGCATTGCCGTTGGAAGCTATTTGCCTTTCTTCTCAGCACTCTGGGTGTCGTTTGCGTGCTCTCTCTCTCTCTTTCTCTCAGTAACTTCAGACTAGAGAATGGGGTACCAAGGTCACTGATAAGGAAGCCCAGGGCCTGGGGGTAAATTTTAGTGAGTCGGCAGTCCTCAATACTCAGACAGATCATCTTCTTCATGATGATGAAGCACCATCAGGAGCTTACCATTTGGAGAGATAGGATGGCTTAACCCTGAATCTGTGCCTGACTGGGGTCTCATACCCTGGGGATTTTATAGTGTAAGCTCAGGAAAGGGATTCTGATGCCTGAGCAGAGAGAATGCCCTAATTAAGAATGACGGCCAGTTTGGACAATCTCCCTGAATCCCACCGACAAAAGAAACAATGGCTTCCCAATGACATGGGTCTCAAGATGGACTTGGGCAGAGCAGGAACATGCAGGGGGGTTGGTGGTCTTCCAGGAGGCAGGGATAAAGCCCCCAGCAGGAGGAAGGGCCCCCCAAGGCTCTCCTTCCTATCTCTATCTCTGGTCAGTATGAGACTGAGTCATTCACTTAGCTAAGGACCAGACAATTAAAGCACAGGAACAGATCCAAGCAGATGTATAAATCTATTATATGGTGAAGTCATACTATAGGTCAGTGAGGAAAGGATGAGTTCCTTAAAAAATATATTGACACATCTGGTTATCCATTTTTAAAGAAAATAAAGTTAAATTCCTATCACATACCATGTACAAAATTTCCAGATAGATTGAATAGCTAAATGTAAATAAATAAATAAATACACACACACACACACACACACACACACACACACATATATATTATATTATAAGAAAATGTTGTGTAACCTTACAATGAGGATTTCTACTTAAATAAAATAGGAAACCTAGGCGAGGTGTAATGGCTCATGCTTGTTATCCCAGCATCACTTGAGCTCACAAGTTTGAGACCAGTCTAGGCAACGTGGCAAAACTCCATCTCAAAAAAAAAAATTAGCCAGGCATGGTGGTGTGTGCCTGTAGTATCAGCTATTCGGGAGACTGAAGTGGGAGGATGGCTTGAGCCCAGGAAGTGGCGGTTGCAGTGAGCCAAGATCCCACCACTGCATTCCAGCCTGGGCAATAGAGCCAGACCTTGTCTCGAAAAACAAACAAACAAAACAAAACAAAACAAAACAAAAAACAGGAACTCTAGAGCCCATAAAGAGAAAAACTAACTTGATAAATTTGGTTACATAAACTTTTTAAACTCCTGATTTTGTAAGCCATTAAACAGTTTTTTACTAGACTAGAAGAAAATAATTGCAATACTTAAAATAGACAAAAGGTTTATATCCCTGATATGAAAAGTTTATGAAATTAATAATAAAAAGACGACTATAAAACAGATAAAGGACACAAAGGGCAATTAACAGAAGAGATTATACAAATGAACAATAGCATGTTACAAGACAACAGTGTTGGGATAATGCAAATTAAAATTCATCAGTTTAGCAAATGTTTAAAATGTTGGTACCAGTAGTCTAATTTTGATGACACTATAAATTGCTACAATGATTTTGAGAATTAACCTGACAGTTACTGCTGACATTTTAATCTGGATGCCCTTGGATGCCACTTCTGGAAAAGGCCAGGGATCATAATCAAAACATTAAGTTACTCTTACATCACAAGCATGCCCTGATCAGAACAGACACTGACCACAATAACCAACAAGACTGTAGCATACTTAAAAATAGATGTATACGAGTATGCTCCTTGTACAATTGTTTATGTTAGCAAACAAACAAGCAAACCTGGAAACAATCCAAAGTTTCATCTATAGGGAGAAGAATAACTAAATTATGAAGGATCATCAATCTGGAACCACTGCAGCTCTTTAAAAAAGAAAAAGAAGGTAAAACTACTATTATTGCCCTGGCAGGATATCCACTATAGCTGTAAAAAAAAAAAAAAAAAAAAAAAGTTTAGAAAATAAAAATAAACAAAGGAAGTAATTCAATTGTAGCTCTTCAAACTGAGATGGTAATAACAGCAATTACTTAAGTACAGTGTAATTATGTCTTCCTGGGGGTTGGTTACATCTTGGCAAAGTTTATCACAGCAAGAATTGGTTTTGGCTTCTGGGGTTGGAGCCTTAGATTGGAGATAGAAAAAAAACCTCAAAGGAAGCATTCCTGTCCAGAAGGTAAAGTGATTCCCACCCCCCTCTTCCCTGCTACAAAAGGTCATGGCTTTGGGGGGCACTGAGGTCTGGCATCAACCCTTAAGTTTATTTTTCCCATAAGGAAAAGCACAGGAGTCTCATGCTAGCACTTTAGAGAACCAAGCATGTGGATCTACAGTTCCAGGGAAGTCCCTGACTCGGGGACACCCTTCTCCTGAAATCCCCACACTCAGTCAGGGCCCTGTCATGTGTTCCCATGGCCCCCAGTTCTCTTCTTGGTGGCACATACCACACGGGTCATTTATGTTAGGATATGTACCTCTTTTTCCCTCCATGAGACTCTCAGGGGGTCACCATCATCCCCAGCACCTAGACAGTGCCCAGAGCTTTGCATATACAGGGTAAATATTTACCACGAATAAATGAAATTAGTAAGGGGCTACAAGAACCCAAGATGATTGAAGAGATATACCAAGAAATGATCAAATGACAGCCAGAGTGTCAGTCACTCAGCTGGTTCCAAATGCCTAATAAAAATTAACTCCCTCTGTCCTTACCACAGCCCTATGAGGTGGCCACACTTATTGTGCTCACTTTATGATGGGGAAACAGGAGCATAGAAGTTGGGCAACTTTCCAAAGTCACACCGTGAGCGATTCCACAACAAGGGGTTGAACCCAGGCTGTCTGGGTCCAGAGGTCTTGTTCTTAACCACAGTGGGCTGCTGCCTCTTCTCCCTAAGCTAGTGCATCCTGGAGGTCCTCAGAATGACTTGAACTGGCCAGAGGGTAAACGTCTGCTGAAGGAATGAATGGGCAATGAATTTCTAGGAACCTGGGGCCCTGGGGTCTGGGAAGGCCGTTGCCTCCCCAAGGGAATGACACAGGGCCAGTCTGCTCTCCTTCTGTGTGGGCCCCTGGACACTGGTCTGGCATTGTCCAGACACCAAAGCACATCCGCATAGCATGCATCAAACAAATGGTGACCTGCTAATGAGGAAATGGCTAAAACAGGAAGCCATGACCAGAGTACATGCTTCATGCCTCCAGCCCCGCATTGGGTAATGGAAGGGCAATTACTTCTCCACCTCTTCACCTATACAGGGCAGACTTGCCTAGAAGTTCAGAGTCCTTCCTGCCAATTTGGCATCCTTTCTTCCAGAGTGTTCCCAGGCTAGGTGGGGATGGGAAAAGCCACAAGGAGCACAGCAGGATGATAGAGATGTGGCCAATGGGCAATGCTGGCACTGCCACCCTGGCCAGAAGAGCTCACTGTGGGACACTTTCTCATTGTTTACTAGGGAAGAGGAGGTTGGTTTGGAATTCATTTTGATTTGTTGTTGTAAATTCTCTTTGCTGTCCCAATTTAAACAAAAAAGAAAATGGAGAAGGGGAGTTTTTAATCAAATGGATTTTCACTTGGGTTTTATCATGAACCTGGAACTGCTTTGAAAGCTGAAGCCAGCTGGGCTTCTGGGTCGGGTGGGGACTTGGAGAGCTTTTCTGTCTAGCTGGAGGATTGTAAATGCACCAATCAGTGCTCTGTGTCTAGCTAGAGGATTGTAAATGCATCAATCAGCATTCTGTAAAAATGGACCAATTGGCACTCTGTAAAATGGACCAATCAGCAGCACTCTGTAAAACGGACCAATCAGCAGGACATGGGCGGGGCCAAACAAGGGAATAAAAGCTGGCCACCTGCTCCAGCAGTGGCAACCAGTCCCTTTCTGCACTGTGGGTGTTTTGTTCTTTTGCTCTTCATAATGAATCTTGCTGCTGCTCAGTGTTTGGGTCCGCGCCACGTTTAAGAGCTGTAACACTCAAGGGGAGGGTCTGCATCTTCACTCCTGAAGTCAGGGAGACCATGAACGCACCTGAAGGAGCAAATTCCAGACGCCCACCTTTAAGAGCTGTAACACTCACTGTGAGGTCCACAGCTTCATTCTTGAAGTCACCAAGACCGAGAACCCACCAGAAGGAATAAATTCCTGACACAGCTTGATTTTGTCTTTGGTGAGAATTAAGAAGGGTCACATCCACTGATGACCAGTTGGGGGATAGATTTACACTGGCTATGCCCAGTGGTACTCAAAGAGCCACAATTACTCTCACTGTGGAGCTTCCTTCAGTGACACCAGAGACCAGGAAGGGAGCTACCTAGGAGACCTCAGCCTGTGGAAATCAAACTGTGGTGTGAGCCCTCCTGTTAGCGAGCAGTGGTGCTGGCTGCTTTCTCACACTGCCACTTGGCAACCAGAATACAGGGACTTCACCGTGAGTTTGAGCTAAAACTTGCCTGCTAGTGAATCTTAGCATAGGTAATTTTGGGTTAGGAGAATTTTGGTTTCTCTGATGACTTGGTTGACATCTTTGAGATTCAGCAAGCCCCAATTCAGATTAGACTTAAAACTTATCAGTGCAAGTCAGACAGCAGTGATTACTCTGCTTGTTGAGACCTAGGGACATCCGTTTGAATTCAGTCCGCACCCCATGGACGAGCCCAGCTCAATGCCAGGAAGTTTATGAATTCCTGGGGCCTTCTAGTCTCATGGTTACATCTGCTGCCAAAAACCAGATCCTATGAAGTTAGTTCAGTTTAGTGATCTTCTCACCAAGCTGCAGGGGCCATCCTGTTTTGTACCATGGTGATGAGGCACAGAGCACACCCTCTTTTTACCTTCAAAGAAAGAAGCCAGACATTGATACAGGTTACTGTGTATGCAGCAGACTATCCTGAAGGTTTAGGGAGACAGAGTATTGATATCTCAGATCTGCAAACAACAGAACAGCCCCTTGGGGATCACTATGATCCAGGCAGAAGGCAGAATTTGTTTTTTAATCAAATCACCAATTAATGACTGAAAACAGTATCTCCTGGAACAAGAAATTATTATTCCTCTAGGCTTGAAACAATATGAAACAGAGGAAAGTTATTTGCAAAAATTGGCTGAATGTGCAAATTATGCTTCCACGTGAATAGCAAAGTAATTAAAACCATTTTCAGAAAGTGAACTACTTTCTTAAAACAGCATGCCGAAAGTGGTCCAGAGTTCAAGATTTTGAAAACAAAAACAAAGTTGGTACTTGAATTCACAGATTGAAGCTAACTAGAAGTCAAAGAAAAGACACACTGGATTATGAGAAGGAGCAGGGATCACAGCCAGGTGCAGAACAAAGTCTGAGCGTGCCTGACCTTCCCTGGAGGTTCCGCCCATGTCACCTGCCCACTGGGTGTTTCCTGTTTTGACCATGCATTCCTTAGACCTTCTGTTGTTAAAATTTTTTCTCCTTGAGAACTTTAACTGGCCAGAAATTAGAATCCAATTTTGAAAATACCAAGCTACTTTCATTATGACACTGCAGTTAAGCAAATATTACCCAAATTTGGACAGCCTTGTCCAAATTTGTTTTATATTGTTTTATATTTAGCAATATAAAGCAAAGTGTCCCATTTAAAAATTGGTAAAACCTTATAATCAATATGCATTAAAAATTTTTAGTATCACATCATTATTAATGGCAAAAATTTCCATTTATAAATAACAGAACTTTTGTTGATTGTATTTATTCTTCCATCCTGGGATTTGGGGTTTTTTCAATTTTGTTTTTTAAGTTTGTTTTTAATTTTTTTTTTTTAATTCAGAAAGAGACCTTGTTGCCACCCTCTGCATACTCAGAAAGGAACCCCAGTCCGTGCAGAAAGGGGCCACGGACAGTGGCTGTCCACCCAGGATGGGCCCAAGAAAGGAGTCGATGTCCTGAAACAGTCCCTGCCCCTTTCCTGAGTGTTGGGGGATGGTGGGAACGACGACCATGTAGCTCCTAACAAAGGGCGTCTGCCTCTGGGGGTGTCCTGGGGCGTGGCTTACTGAGGGCTTACTGAATTTTAAAAATTCAGATTTCAGCCAGGCACGGTAGCTCACACCTGTAATCCCAGCACTTTGGGAGGCCAAGGTGGGCGGATCACCTGAGGTCAGGAGTTTGAAACCAGCCTGGTCAACATAGTGAAACCCCATCTCTACTAAAAATACAAAAAAATTAGTTGGGTGTGGTGGCATATAATTGCTGTAATCCCAGCTACTCGAGAGGCTGAGGCAGGAGAATCGCTTGAACCTGGGAGGCAGAGGTTGCAGTGAGCCGAGATTGCATCATTGCAGTTCAGCTGGGCGACAAGAGCAAGACTCTGTCTCAAAAAAAAAAAAAAAAAAAAAAAAAAATTCAGATGTCCAGCTTTTCATGAAAAAATCCAAAGTTCTGGTCACACGCTGGACAACAATAGCCATAGGTGAGCACCTGCTGCCCTGGGAACAGGCACGTGCCCTCCAGGTGGTGAATGACCCACTTCTCTCACCAGCTT
This sequence comes from Homo sapiens, assembly GCF_000001405.40. Classification (NCBI taxonomy): domain Eukaryota; kingdom Metazoa; phylum Chordata; class Mammalia; order Primates; family Hominidae; genus Homo; species Homo sapiens. The sequence continues at coordinate 47,883,275 of NC_000010.11, read as the reverse complement.
CAATTGTGTCCATCTAGGACATTTGGAACTCTTCCAGGCTGCTGCACTCACCAATGGCACCTTCCTGGCCTCATGGGCATTTGAGTTTGTACTCCTGGCCAGGACCTAATGCTGCAGACCAGATAACTTCCTGGGTTCTTGCCCTAAAGGAGGAGCTGAAGCCATAAGCGCAGACCTCTAATGTGGCTCAGAGACACTGTGGAGAGAGGGCAGTCCAGGCCCAGGGTCTTGACGGTCCCGCCCCTGGACTTATTAGGCCCCCTCTGCATAGCTCATAGTGGCAGTGATACCAGACGTCACCTAAACCTTCCCACTCCTGCGGCACCCACTACCATTCAGCCTCAGGGCCATCCTAACCTTAACTCCAGGCTCCTCTCTCACATGGGACTATTCCAGCTCTGACTTTAGCTCCCATGAAGAACTGGCTCCCGAGTCCTGGCTCCCCATCCAGGACCCAGGTTCCAGTCCTCTCAATGGGCTCTCCCTGATAGAGGTCACCTTGGGTCTGGTGGCCTACCCCATTTCTTACAACATACACCCCACACCAGCCTTGGGCCAGCCACCTCCTTTGTGCCCCAGAATGGCTGTCAGGGAAGACCCTGCCTGTGTGCCCCAACCTGTGGGCAAGGCAAGGCCTAGGGCTCTGCCCACCAGGAATAACAGACCCAGCTAGGGAAAGGCAGGCTTTGAGATGCACGTGTGATGTTGACCCTCCCCCCGGGTCACCCCAATACCCGTCTGCCTGATTCTCTGTTGCCCCACAGGGTCCCAGAGAGTGCTGAGCTGCACATTTGACAGGCTATGTGCCCATGGGTCCAATGTGTCCATGGATGACCTGAATTCCAAGGCCATCAGGAAAAGCCTATTGTGTTGGGCCCCCAGGAAGCCAAGCCAGGCTGGCTACCCTGGGATCTTCAGAGGAGAGCAGCCTAGCTTGTACAGATCCCCTCCATGGGCCAGGCCCTAGAAATTTCACACAAAAAAATTATCCTTTTTTACAGCAACTCATGAGAGAGACCATGAGGATACCATTTTACAGATGAGAAAACTGAGAGTGAAGGAGGTGATGCAACCAATGAGTGACAGAACATGGACATGAAACATGTCTTGGCAACTCCAGTACCCAAGATTTCTCCATGTCAGCTGTCAGCCTGCCTGGCTCACAAAACCTTCATCCCCAGTGTAGAAAGGACTGATAGACAAGTTAGGGGCTTCTCTCTCACAGGGCCCTTGTGTGTGCCCACCCTTCACACACATACACCCATTCACACATACATACATACATCTGCACACACAAACACCTATGGGGTCCACACACATGCACACAAATACACACACAAACACCCTGCATATCCACACATACACACAGGCATATTCACACATATATACGTGCACCTGCATACAAACACACACATAGACACAAACACCCATAAATATCCACACACACACAAACATGCACATACACACAAATACTCATACACAAACACCCTACATGTTCACACATACAAACTCCTGCACTCACACAAACACCTTCCATATCCACACATCCATACATATATATTCACACACACACACACACGCATGCTCACACACACGAGCAGAGCACTGGACCAGGAGCAGGAGCTGGGACTCTCGTCCCAGATCTCCCATCACACTTCTCAAGCCTTGGCTTCCTCATCTGTGAGATGGGGTTGTGCCGCCTGCTTCCCAGAGTGTTGCACAAGCAAACATGCATGACAGCCCAGGAAGTGAGAAGGGTGTATAGGAGGAAAGGGTCCTGATTTTTGGCAGAAGTTGCCCAGGGAGTAGTGAGTGCTCCACACCTTTGTATGTGCTGTACCTTCTCTCTGGAGCTCTTTTCTCTTCTTCTCTGGCTGGTGAACTCATCCTCACCTTCCAGCTCCAACAACCACACTTTGTGTTCCTGATGTCTCCCTGTAGTGGAATTCCTCCACCATCCTCAGTGTCCCCAGCTCCTGTGTGAGACAGGACTTCCTACACTGGAGTGGGACACGTGAATGAGGCTGCATGGCTCTTCGGAGCCGGATGAGTCCCGACTTCTCCTGCCACAACCCAAGTCCCTTCACAGACCCACAGCACAGTCTCTCAGAGGTATCTTTTAAGGCCAGACCCTGGCCTTCCCTTTGACAGCACTGATGCAAAGCTCCTGATGTGACTAGGAGTTTAAGAACCCCCTAAGTGCCCCTAGCTGCCTGGTATAGACCTGCCAGCCTCTGCCCATCCTGCTTCATCTGCTCTGACCTTTTGCTCTCTGGTGGAGTCCTTGCCATGATGGCCTGGGCCCAGTCTGGTCTGGCCTAGGGAGGCGCTTTTCTGCCCAGGCATCAGGGCCTGTCCTCACGCAGAGTTCAGAACACACAGAGGCACCCCATCACTCTCGAGGTAGGCCTCACACCTCGCAAGTCAGCCTCAAAAAAGCAAGTATGAGGCAGGATCCCCTTTCTGGCTTTGGGTAGGGGCTGCAGTTCCTCTTGCCATGTGGAAGCTTCTTAAATATTGTACTACAATATTTAAAAATATTCCCTTTGTTCTACATACCATTAATAGATCAACTCTTCTACAGCTCTGCAATCACTTCTGACTTGGCAAAGCTGAGCCTGAGCTCAGGGAAGGGCTCTGGCTTCAGCCTTGTGAAGCAGAAAGATCGTGGACTCTCGCACAGGACCCCTGTTTACATTTCTCTCAAGCACAGCCTCACCTTCTCAGTCCTGCTCCAAAAACACCACACAACTTCCAGTTCTGAGAATGCACCCTGTTCTCTCAGCCCTGGGCTTTCCACATGCTAACCCCTTCTCAGAACCTCCCTTCCTTCACTTCGATACCTAACTGATTTCTATTCTCCTTCAAAACCCCATTCTAACATCACCTCTTCTGGGAAGCTTCTCTGACTTCTCTGAGGCCCTCCCAGGCTATCATTTCCTTCCTGATAATGGCTCCTTATAGCACTGGCCACTTATATGGAAGTGGTGCATTTGAGTCTCTCCCACTGCACCATGGGTTTTCAATGGAAGAGTGTGTGTATCATTCCTCTTTGTAATCCCAGCTCTGTCATCACAAGATGGAATTCAAGCATGTACCTGGTAGTTGATCAAGCTCTATATTCATAGAGCCCAAACCCAAACCTAAACCAAGAAGAAAGAAGAAAATAATAGAGGCTAGTCTAGAAATAACATAGACCAGGCTAATTCCTTAATAATAAAGACAATAGAGAAAATACTTCCCCAACCCTTGCTAATGCCAATGGGAAAAAAATAGAGAAATCTTTAAAAACCAAAATTGGTTATTTGAAAAGATTAACAAAATTGGCAAATCTTTAACTATACTGACCAGAAAAAAGAAAGATTAAAATCAGAAATGAAAAAGAAGATATTACCTCTAACCTTCAAAAATAAAAAATTATAAGTGAATGCTATGAACAATTATATGTCAATAAATTAAATGACTTAGATGAACTGGAGAAATTCCTAGAAAAACACAGAAACCAAACCTGACTAAAGAAGAAATAGAAAGTCTAAAGAAACCTTTAACAACTAAAGAGATGAAATTAGTAATCCAACACCTAACTGCAAAAAGAAAGCCAAGCCCCAATGGCTTCATTGGTGAAATTAAACATTTAAAGAATAATTTGCGTTTTAAAAATATTTGCATTTAAAGGAGCTTTTAAAGAAAAATTATTATCAATTCTTCACAAACTTGCAAAAAGTTAGGCATAAACACTTCCCAACTCATTCTATGGGGCCATTACTATTCTGATACTGAAATTAGACAAAGACATCACAAAAAAAGAACACTACTAATACCTCTTATGAATATGGATACAATAATAACAAAATACTAGCAAACTAAATTCAGCAACATATAAAAAGGATTATACACAATGATCAAGTGCAGTTTGTCCCAGGAATGCAGGGTTGGTTTAACATCCAAAAAATCATCAACGTAATACCATATTATTAATTGTTCTATTAATACTATATTAATAGAATAAAAGATCAAAACCTCATAATCATCTCAATAGATACAGAAAAAAATGACAAAATACAAAACTCCTTCATAGTAAAAACACTCAGAAAGAATAAAAGAGAATTTCCTCAACCTAATAAAGCGTATATACTAAAAAAGCAGCAACAACAAAAAAAACATAGATAACATCACATTTAATGGGAAAGACAACATGCTTTCCTTCTAAGATCACAAAAGAAACAAGGATGTCTACTCACCACTTCCATTCAACATCATACTGAAGGTTCCAACTATTGCAATTATATAAGGGAAAAAAAGGCACCCAGATAGGAAAGAAAGATGTAAAATGGTCTCAATTGGCAGATGACACGATTTTTCTATGTAGAAAATCCTAAGCAATTCACAAAAAAATTAAAATATGTAAATGAATTCAGCAAGATTTTAGCACATGAGATCAGTTTGCAAAAATCAATTCTGTTTCTATACACTGTCAATGAACAAGACAAAAATGAAATTAGAAAAATAATTCCATTTACAATAACATCAAAAAATACTTAGGAATAAAGATAACAAAAGAAATCCAAATGGTATATTCCAAAAAATATAAAACATTGTTGAAAGAGGTCTTAAAAGATCAAAATAAATGAAAATACATATCATGTTTTTGGACCAGAAGACTTATTGTTAAAGATAGAAATATCCCAGAGTTAATCTATAAGTTCAATGCAATCTCTATCAAAATCCCAGATGACTTCTTTGCAGAAATTGACAAGGCAATCCTCAAATTTATATGGAAAATCAAGGAATGCAGAATAGCCAAAATAATCTTGAAAAAAGAAAAACGAAGCTGGAGTACTCACGTTTTCCACATTCAAAACTTACTAGAAAGCTACAGTAATCTAAACAGTGTGATACTAGCATAAGAACAGATCAATAAAATAGAACTGAGAGTCCAGAAATAAATCCATGATCTATCTACATACATCTATTGTCAATTAACTTTTTTTTTGAGATGGAGGCTTGCTCTATGGCCCAGGCTGGAGTGCAGTGGTGCTATCTCAGCTCACTGCAACCTCCACCTCCCTGGCTCAAGCAATTCTCTTGCCTCAGCCTCCTAAGTAGCTGGAATTACAGACACACACCACCACACCTGGCTAATTTTTGTATTTTTAGTAGATACGGGGTTTTGCCATGTTGCCCAGCTGGTCTCAAACTCCTGAGCTAAAAGTGATCCGCCTGCCTTGGCCTCCCAAAATGCTGGGATTACATGCATGTGAGCCACCAGGCCCAACTGTATTGTCAATTAATTTTTAACAAGAGTGCCAAGACCATTCAATGGGGGAAATAATAATCAAATAATCTCTTCAACAAATGGTGCTGGAACAACTGGATATCCACATGCAAAAGAATGAAGTTGGACTCCCATCTTACACCATATAGAAAAATTAACTTAAAGCGGGTCAACAACCTACATATAAGAGCTAAAGCCATAAAACTCTTAGAAGAAAACATAGGAGTATATCTTCATAATTTTAGCTTTAGCAATAGAGTCTTAGATATGATACCAGAAGCATGAACAACAAAAGAAGAACTAGATAAATTAGACTTCATAAAAATAGTAAACTTTCGAACATCAAAGAAAATTACCAACAAAGTAAAATCATACATCTAATAAAGGTCTGGTATCCAAAGCATTTAAAGAACTCTTACAGCTCATCGGCAAAAACACACAACTCAATTTTAAAATGGGCAAAGACTTGAATAGACATTTCTCCAAAGAAAATATACAAATGCCAACAAGCACATGAAAAGACACTCAATATTTTTATTAATTAGGGAAATGCAAATCAAAATTGCAATGAGGTACCAATTCACACCCACTGTATATATATGTAATAGGTGGATGGATATATATAATATTTATATATAATTATTTATAATATGTATATATAATAATGTTATTATATGATAAATTATATAATACATATATAATTTATTGATTTGAGACAGGCTCTTGCCATGTTATCCAGGCTGGAGTGCAGTGACACCATCACAGCTCACAGTGGCCTGAACCTCCCAGGATCAAGTGATCCTCCACCTCAGCTTCCTGAGCAGCTAAGAGGTACTACAGGCAGGCATAACCATGCCCTACTAATTTCTTAATTTTTTTGTAGAGACAGGATCTCACTATGTTGCCCAGGCTGGTCTCAAATTCCTGGCCTCAAGCTATCCTCCCAAAGTGCTGGCATTAGAGGCATGAGCCACTGCACCTGACTTAGGATGGATATATTTTTTTCAATGGAAAATAACAAGGGCTAACAAGAATGTAGAAAAATTGGAACCCTCAGACATTGTTGGTGAGAATGTAAAATGGCACAACTGCTGAGAAAAGTTTGGTGATTTCTCAAAAACTTAAATATAGAATTATGGTATGATCAAGCAATTCCACTCCTAGGTATATACCCAGAAGAACTGACACTGACTACTCAAACAAGTACATGTATCTTTATAGCAGCACTATGAACAATAGCCAAAAGGTGGAAACAACCCAAATTTCCATAACAAATGAATGGATAAACAAATTGTGATATACAATGGAATAATAGCCATAAAAAGGAATGATGTACTGATACATGCTGGAACATGGATGAGCTACCAATTTACAGGAAACACAGAGGACAGGGGACATGTTGAATAGCACCATGAGAGTGCAGTCAGCAAAATCCAGACTATTGGAAACTCTACAGATCAAATGACCTGGGTCTTGGGAGGGGGTAGGAAAACCTGTGTATTAACCAACTTTTAAAAGATGTATTTTTATAAAATAAGTGAGATTTAATTATAGGGTGTAGGGATATACATGTGGGTAATAATTAGACTATGAAGCAAAGGAAAGGAGTGTCTACTGTAAGTCAAGGTAGTGGTGACTTTGGAGAAGAGAGTGAGGAGGTGCCTCTGGACAAAGTTCTGTTTCTTAGTCTAGGTGGTGGTTACAAAGCTTTACTCTTGTAAAAATCCATTAAGCCATGCATTTGTTTTATGTGGCTTCTTATAGCTTTGTTTATTTGCAAATAATAACCTGGTTCAGAGATTCTGATTCACAGGGTGTGGGGCAGAGTTCAGGAATGCTTTTAAATTTTCCCGTGTTGTGTGCGCACACACACACACGCATACATATATATCTGTCTTCCACACCAGGCTGGTGCCTGTTTGAGGAAGGTCTGTGGCTTGCCTCAATTTGGACTTCCCAACCTCCAGAACTATAAGAAATAAATTTCTGTTCTTTATGAATTACCCAGCCTCAGGTATTCTTTTATAGCAACACAAAACAAACCAAGACAGCTTCTATCTCTCTCCTACTGACCTATGAGCAGGGCATGCTTTGTTTCTGTCTTTGCATTCAGCACCTAGCACACAGTAAGTGCTCTGTAAATGCTGATGAGGCTGGGCTGATACACAGGTGGACTGACAGTGGGCATACCAGACAAGATCCAGTGGCCCCTGAAGCAGTCAACTCACCCACAGCAATGCTGGAGGGCTATGAACTTCCCAATCTCACTGAGGACCACAGGAGCATTCCACCTCTACTGGGCAGTAAAATCCAGAACGCCGGCTGCAGACATTCCACTTAGAGTCATGCCAACATCCTCTCTGGGCCCCACTAGCTTAAGACAGAGCCACAGACACAGGCGTCCAGAATTAAGAGTCCATCTCAGCCCTGAGGCTGATTTCTCACTACACACTGACCCTGAGAAAAACTTCAGGGACTGCAAAAGGCAGCCAGAAACACTGGGAGAAGGGAGGGAAGAAAGCGCCTCTGAAATAGACAGAAACACTAATGCACCACCAGTGCCTCTTTCAGACATAAGCCAGTCCAGCTCCCCATGGGCAGGCCCAGGATCACACAGGACACTACAAACCAGGTCTCTGCCCAAGAACCAGGCTGTAGGGGCCACCAGAGCCTCACTGGAACAGGTTAATGCAGAATACAGTCATGTACGTCCAAACGGAGCTACAGGCCTTCCCCGTTAAAGACAGTGCCCTCCCCGGGGTAGAAAGGAAAACAATACTCCTTATCAGCATGACCATTGTATGTTAAGTCTTGTGATGCATGTTTGCAAGTTACTCCAAGTAACTATGGATCTTGTCCCCAACTCAGGCCAGCCAGCTGACAGGCCCTGAAGTCAGCAGCTACAGTTGGCTGATTCTGAACCCAGTGATGCCTGCTGTTTGCAGGGAATGAGATACTTACTTAATTATCTCAAATTTAAACACTCTTATATGTTTCCTTAATTTAAAAACCATACACACACAGAAGTGAGGACATCTAAAAATGGGATCTGCGTTACTGATGTGTAAGCCAGAAAAAAAGAGGAGTTCTCAAATACACTCTGAGCTGGACTTCACAGCTACGCCAGTTCCTCAAGTGGTTCGTGGAGGTGAGCGGCAGATGCAGGCCAGTCTTAGAATGTGAAAAATCTGAGAGCTATAAGACAATTCAAAAACAGACAATAAGTCAAATCCCATTGAATTGTGTTATTTTAAATATAAAGAAAGAAATGTACAAACATTTAACAGAAAATTAGATTCCCCCTGTCCCCACAAATCAAATCCAAAATTACCCATGTGAAAACTTCACGGCATTATCCACTTTCCACCAAGGCCTCCACGTGCTCGTTCTCTGGCCAGGCCTTGGTAGTGTGGACTGGTCACCATGTAAGGACAGCCTTCTGTGAGCTGCAGACCAAGGGAGGTGGCCTGGCAGCCTGTTGGAGGCCAGGCAAGGATAAAATTTACTATCAATCCTTTTTTTTTTTTTTTTGAGATGGAGTCTTGCTCTGTTGCCCAGGCTGGAGTGCAGTGGTGTGATCTCGGCTCACTGCAACCTCTGCCTCCTGGGTCAAGCAATTCTCCTGCCTCAGCCTCCCAAGTAGCTGGGACTACAGGTGCATGCCACCACACCCAGCTAATTTTTGTGTATTTTTAGTAGAGACAGGGTTTCACCATGTTGGCCAGGATGGTCTCAATCTCTTGACCTCGTGATCTGCCCACCTTGGCCTCCCAAAGTGCTGGGATTACAGGCATGAGCCACCATGCCCAGCCATCAATCCCTTTTTATGTATAAGAAATAGGCTCAGAGAGGCCAGATGGCATGGCCCAGTTTGCACAGTAAGGTGATTGCCTGTCACGGCCAAATAGCCACCACGTCCGGATAATCCATGGCCACTGGTTTCTGTGAGGTGGTGGAGAGGCGGCCTCAGCCTGAGCCCTCTGGATCGTGGGCAACGGGTGGTGTGAGGAAACTGTCCAGCAGTGATCTACTGTCCCTGCACTCCCACACTGCAGGGCCAGGGGTGCATCTGCATCCCACGCGGGGAATGCCTGGGCATGAGGCTTCAAGAAGCACTTAGCAGGAATGCACCGGGTGCTCAGAGGAGCCGCTGTCCTGGCAGGCTTTGCTGTCCACATTTGCCCCTTTGCACGGAGCCTGCTGTCCCTGAAGTGCTCTGACCTGTCCACAGGAAACCAGGTCAGGCACAAAATAACCACCCTTGTCTCAAAGCAAGGGCCCTAATGCCTCCATTCCTTCAATGCCTTTTCCTTCAGCCAAGGTCCCCTGCAGTCTTGTCCTGGGCACTGAACTGGGTGCTGGGGATGGGCTGGATTATGAGGAAGGAAGGTCTCTGCTCTCAAGAAGAAGTGGGTCCCCCATCCTAGGGCAGAAGGCACTGCCATCCTGAGTCAGCTTATCGCAGCTCAGATTTCACTCCCTCTGTGCTGGGCCCTGGGAATGGGGAGATGACACTGCCATGGCCCTGCCCTCAGGGGCTCCCCATCACGTGGGGAAGCCAGACACAAAGGTAAATTTGGGAGGAAGCCCCCAATGCCTCATAAGCTATCAAAAACCAGAGTCCACAGCAATGGGAAAAACAAGGCAAGGAAGGTAACCTGCAAAGAAACGAGGGCTGGGGAGGCAACACGCAAACAGCCAGAGGAGACTGTGAGGAGGCCCCCCACAGACTCATCGCCTCAAAGCGGAGCCCCAGGAATGAACAGTCAGCTCTAGGACGTGCTAAATGCCCCAGGAGAGGCACGAACCAGGGGACCACTGACACCACTCGGCCTTCGGAGGTGAGAGGCGGCTTCCCAGAGGAGGGCATATTGGCTGAGCAGGATTTCCTCAGGTAGACACAGGGGGAAACCAAGCATCGCAACTGAAGGCCAGGTAACACAGATCTGCCGAAAGAGACATCATGATTTTCAAACAAGCAAACGAAAGGGATTCATTCTATTCTGCAACTGTCAGGCATACTCAGACCAAGAGTAATCTTTCAAATAAACCCCAGAAAATGAAATCACGTATGCCATGTTCTAGCCCCGCAGTGGAAAGTGGTTTAGCCTCTGGTCCCGGAGTCTTGCCTGTCTCTTCTCCCACCCACCTCCCCTGCCTCTCTCCCCTTCCCAGCTGCCCAGAAGGTGACTAACTGCATGTCCACTTTTTTTTCTGCTGATTCTTCCCATTTCTGATATTAAGTAGCACTTTCTCTGCAAGCAAAGCTACACTGATATAATACAGATGAAACTGGGAAAGTCCAGGCTAAATTTCAGGATACGTATACAGAAATGCGTTGAGATACAGCACCTCACTCAGCAACCATGCCTTATAGATAGTGCTAAGCTTCAGTCGCATCACAGAACTTTCTACCCTGCATGAGTTCTCTGACCTGGCTGTGAGCTTCTTGTGGGTGGGGTCTCAGTCATTCCCAAGCAGCCAGATGTGTCTCAGTGCCTGGCATACAGAAGGCATATGATAAATGTTTGCTGAATGAGTAATTCACAAGTAGGTCCATTGTTATAAATGAATGTTTTGGAAACACAAGCTGTCACTGAGTTCCACGTGTCGTGTTCTGCTTTCGAATGACCTGCCCTGAATATATCTCACATGCAGTCTTGCATATGCCTGATTCAGACTTTTGCTCACAGCTACGGGGAGGTGTTGAGCTCTGCATGGGCCAGCAGATCCAGGCAGAAAGACTTCCATGTCTGTACAGCAGCATTTGTTCATTGCTCCAATGGTTTATTTTCCCCTGGTTTTATTAAAATAGTGAAAAACACTAAAGTGGAAGGGCTTACACTCAAGAGCAACACAATTGGAATGACAGCATGGGTTTTCAGGGGTGCCCAAAGAAGTCCTTCCCCTCTGTTGTATGTCCCTAGGTCTTAAGCCACTACACTGAATTCATGTGTGAAGGAAAGGAACAAAATTCAAGGGTGTGTATGAAATGCTAGCAATATAGCCTTGAATGCTGTACCTGGATGTAGAGCAGGAAGCAAGGCTTGTACCGTCTCTTCCTTACCTCTCTGAGAAGGGACCCCACCCCAAATTGATCTGCTCTGGCTCCGACACACCCCCTACATACGACCCACTCTGTGGAGGCAATAGGGAAGTCCTGCTCTGTGTCTGAAAATGTCAAAGACAGCTTATTCCTGGGAAGCCATCAAATACGCCCTGCTCTGCTGTATATATTATTCAAGTACTCAGTAAACCCTTTGTTTCTGGAGAGCAAAGGCCACTGGCAGCCCAACCTCTGCCCAGACAAGGAGGGGACAGGCAGGGAGCTGGCAAGGGCACACAGGATCATGGCCAGAGGGTGAGCTCAGTGCCCAGAATCTGTCCCCATAGGAGCACAGGGTCCCCAGGCTTTCAATTCTCCAGACTTCGTTTCCCAGCCTATAAAATGCGTACAAAACTGACATCCTCTCGGGATGTTAAGATTCGATGATATTACAAATGTGAAAGCACTTTGGAACCCATAAAGTGCTGTATCAATACTGGTTGATCGTGCTCTTATTAAGATTATTCTATTAATAACCCATCTCAAATTACATATCTGTAGACAGTGCGTTTGTGCATCTATTGGGCCAGCTGCTCTCCAGGCCGGGAAGCCAGAAAGATCTCATGGAGGAGCTGGTCCTCCTACTTCCTTCCCTTGCTAAGGCCAAACCTGCCCGAATGAGCTTCATCTAGAGGGCACCTCTCAGGCTCAGCACCTGGAGCAGCCCTCCATGTGGACAGCCGGGCCTGTCCAGCCCAACCAGAGGGGGCCGTGGATTTTGTCCATGGCTGTTTCCCAGACTCCATGGCAGTGATTTAGATGCCCCTGCCCCCTGGCCGCACGCTGGAACATGTGCACCTGGTTTCTCCCGGCACTGACCTACTTATCCATCAGTTACTCAACTGTCTACTGACGTGTTTATTGAGCATGTCCCAAAGGCCAGGTACCAGACCACTTGCTGCATGTGACATGCAGACACATATGGAACCAGGCCAGCCCTTGAACAATCACGACAAGTGTCCCAAGTGCTACAAAAGAGAAGGAAGGGATGATGTTGCAGAAAGTGGGGAGGGAGGGGCAGTGCTAACCTGCTCTGGGGTCTCTCTCGAAATTTCCTTTTGTTTGTCCTGCTGACCTTTCTATGCATGCTTTTACTCTGAAGTCACACCTTTTCTTAACCTGTAGAAAATTCTCGGTCATGTCATTCTACCACTCCTTCTACTGTATCTTCTCTACCATTCTCTCCACATTTTCTCCTTCAGAACATTGGTTGTTAAAACTCAGCCATTTTTTAAGTTCTCTTCCATAGTTTCATCTCCTTCTATCTGTGAGCTGCTTTTAGTTTTCCATTCGCAAATTGTATCTTTGACTAGCTCATCTATTGATTTAATTATCATAGTTTTTATACCTAGATTTCTACTCAGTTTTTTTTCAGAGCCAATCTGTTCTTAATTTATACCTTCCTGGGTTTATTTTATAATTACTTTTTATGAATGCTATTTCTTCTTCTTTGTGGGTCTTAAGATGCTTAAGGCTTTTTGGTTTTGAGATTTTTCTCATATTTCCATTTATTTGGCAGTGAATTC